>NT_187425.1:64209-112505 GCF_000001405.40 Homo sapiens | reverse complement strand
CCCTTCCATTCCATTCCATTCAGTTCCATTCCACTCAGTTCTATTCCATTCCATTCCATTCCATTCCATTCCATTCCATTCGGTACCATTCCATATTGTTCCATTCGATTCCATTCGAATCCATTCCATTCCAGTCCATTCCATTCGATTCCATTCCATTCCTTTCAATTCCATTCCATTCCATTCCATTCCACTTGATTCCACTCCATTCCCTTCCACTTCATTCCATTCGATTCCATTCCATTGCATTGCATTCCATTCCATTGGATTGCATTCCATTCGATTCCATTCCATTCGAATCAATTACATAGCAGTCCATTACATTCGAGTCTATTCTATTCCGTTCCATTCGATTTCGTTCCAATCCATTCGATTCCATTCCATTCGATTCCATTCCATACTATTGCATTCCTTTCGATTACATTATATTCGAATAAGTTCCATTCAAGACCATTTCTTTTGAGTGCATTCCCTTTTATTCCATAACATTTGAGTCCATTCAATTCCATTCCTTTCGTTTCCATTCCATTTGATGCCATTCCATTCAATTCTGTTCTACTCGACTCCAATACATTCAATTCCATTCCATCCGATTCCATTACATTCTTTTCATTTCTTATCCATTTCAAACCATTCCATTCCATTCATTTCCTTTCCATTCGATTCCATTCCTCTCCAGTCCATTCCGTTCAATCCATTCCATTCCAGTCCATTCCATTCGAGTCCGTTCCATTCCAGTCCATTCCATTCGAGTCAATTCCATTCCATTCGATGTCTTTCCATAACGATCCATTCCATTCTATTCCTTTCGATTCCATTCCATTCTATTTCATTCCATTCGATTCCCTTCCATTGGACTCCTTTCCATTCGAGTGCATTCCATTCCGTTCCATTTCTTTCCGTTCTGTACGATTCCTACCGTTCGATTTCATTTTGTTCCAGTCCATTCCTTTCGCGTCCATTCCATTCCATTTCACTCCATTCGATTCCATTCCACTCGATTCCACTTCGTTCCATTTCATTGCATTCCATTCTATTCAACTCTATTGCCTTCCATTCCATTCCATTCGATTACATTCCATGCGATTCCATTCGAAATCGAATCAATTACATTGCAATCCATTACTATTGAGTCCGTTTTATTCCAGTCCACTGCATTCTGGTCCATTCCATTTGATTCCATTCCATTCTATTCCATTCCATACAGTTGCATTCCATTGGATTCCATTCTATATCTATAAATTCAATTCGAGACCATTGCTTTTGAGTCCATTCTATATGATTCCATTCCATTCAAGTCCATTACGTTTGGTTCAATTCCACTCCATTCCATTCCCTTCCATTCCATTCCATTTGATATCAATCCATTCGATTCCATTCCATTCGAGCACTTCCATTCGAGTCCATTCCATTCCAGGCCATTCCATTCGATTCCATTCCATTCCTTTCAATTCCTTTCCATTCCATTCCATTCCACTTGATTCCACTCCATTCTCTTACACTGGATTCCATTCGATTCCATTCCATTGCATTGCATTCCATTCCATTGGATTGCGTTCCATTCGATTCCATTCCATTCGAATCAATTACATAGCAGTCCATTACATTCGAGTCTATTCTATTCCGTTCAATTCGATTTCGTTCCAATCCATTCGATTCCATTACATTCGATTCCATTCCATACTATTGCATTCCATTCGATTAAATTATATTTGAATAAGTTCCATTCAAGACCATTTCTTTTGAGTCCATTCCCTTTGATTCCATAACATTTGAGTCCATTCAATTCCATTCCTTTCGTTTCCATTCCATTTGATGCCCTTCCATTCAATTCTGTTCTACTCGACTACAATACATTCAATTCCATTCCATCCGATTCCATTACATTCTTTTCATTTCTTATCCATTTCACGTCATTCCATTTCATTCCATTGCAGTCGTTTCCTTTCCATTCGAGTCCATTCCTCTCCAGTCCATTCCGTTCAATCCATTCCATTCCAGTCCATTCCATTCGAGTCCGTTCCATTCCAGTCCATTCCATTCGAGTCAATTCCATTCCATTCGATGTCTTTCCATAACGATCCATTCCATTCTATTCCTTTCGATTCCATTCCATTCTATTTCATTCCATTCGATTCCCTTCCATTGGACTCCTTTCCATTCGAGTGCATTCCATTCCGTTCCATTTCTTTCCGTTCTGTACGATTCCTACCGTTCGATTTCATTTTGTTCCAGTCCATTCCTTTCGCGTCCATTCCATTCCATTTCACTCCATTCGATTCCATTCCACTCGATTCCACTTCGTTCCATTTCATTGCATTCCATTCTATTCAACTCTATTGCCTTCCATTCCATTCCATTCGATTACATTCCATGCGATTCCATTCGAAATCGAATCAATTACATTGCAATCCATTACTATTGAGTCCGTTTTATTCCAGTCCACTGCATTCTGGTCCATTCCATTTGATTCCATTCCATTCTATTCCATTCCATACAGTTGCATTCCATTGGATTCCATTCTATATCTATAAATTCAATTCGAGACCATTGCTTTTGAGTCCATTCTATATGATTCCATTCCATTCAAGTCCATTACATTTGGTTCAATTCCATTCCATTCCATTCCCTTCCATTCCATTCCATTTGATATCAATCCATTCGATTCCATTCCATTCGAGCACATTCCATTCGAGTCCATTCCATTCGATGCCATTCCATTTGATTCTATTCCATTAGTCTCCATTCAATTCCATTAATCTCCATTCCATTCCATTCTACTCCAACTCATTCTACTCCAACTGATTCCATTCCATTCTATTCCTTTCCATTCCATTTCATTCCATTCCATTCCATTCGCTTCCATTCCATTCGTGTCCATTCCACTCCAGTCCATTCCATTCGTGTCCATTCCATTCCAGTCCATTCCATTTGTGTCCACTGCATTCCATTCCATTCCATTCCATATTATTCCATTACACTCCATTGCATTCTATTACTTTCACTTCCATTCAATTCCATTCCATTTGATTCCATTCCACTCGGTTTCATTCCATTTGAGTCCACTCCATTCCATTCCACTCCATTCCATTCAGTTCCGTTCCATTCTGTTCCATTCCATTCCGTTCCATGGCATTCCATTCCATTCGGTACCATTCGATATTGTTCCATTCGATTCCATTCGAATCCATTCCATTCCAGTCCATTCCATTCGATTCCATTCCATTCCTTTCAATTCCATTCCATTCCATTCCATTCCACTTGATTCCACTCCATTCCCTTCCACTGCATTCCATTCGATTCCATTCCATTGCATTGCATTCCATTCCACTGGATTGCATTCCCTTCGATTCCATTCCATTCGAATCAATTACATAGCAATCCATTACATTCGAGTCTATTCTATTCCGTTCCATTCAATTTCGTTCCAATCCATTCTATTCCATTCCATTCGATTCCATTCCATACTATTGCATTCCATTCGATTAAATTATATTCGAATAAGTTCCATTCAAGAGCATTTCTTTTGAGTGCATTCCCTTTGATTCCATAACATTTGAGTCCATTCGATTCCATTCCTTTCGTTTCCATTCCATTTGACGCTATTCCATTCAATTCTGTTCTACTCGACTCCAATACATTCAATTCCATTCCATCCGATTCCATTACATTCTTTTCATTTCTTATCCATTTCAAGCCATTCCATTCCTTTCCATTCCACTCGTTTCCTTTCCATTCGAGTCCATTCCACTCCAGTCCATTCCATTCGAATTCATTTCACTCCAGTCCATTCCATTCGAATTCATTTCACTCCAGTCCATTAAATTCGAGTACATTCCATTCCATTCTATTCAATGCCATTCCATTCGATTCTATTCCTTTTGACACTATTCTTTTCCATTCCGTTCCATCCGATTCCATTCCATTGTATTCCATTCAATTCCATTCCATTGCATTCCATTCCATTCCATTCGTTTCCATTACATTCGAATTCATTCCACTGAAGTCCATTCCATTCGAGTCCATTCCCTTCCAGTCCATTCCAATAGAGTCCATTGCTTTCCATTCCATTCGATATCTTCCCATTACAGTCCATTCCATTCTATTGCTTTGGTTCCCATTCAATTCAATTCCATTTGATTACATTTCATTTGATTACATTCCATTCGACTCCATTCCATTCGAGTCCATTCCATTCCAGTCCATTCCATTCGATTCCATTCCATTCGATTCCTTTCCACTCATTTCCACTCCGTTGCATTCCATTGCATTCCATTCTATTCCATTCCATTGCATTCCATTCCATTCCATTGGATTACATTCCATTCGATTCCATTCCATTCGAATCAATTACATTGCAATGCATTACATTCATGCCCTTTCTATTAAAGTCCAATGCATTATGGTCCATTCCATTCAATTCCATTCTATTCCATTCCATTCGAATCAATTACATTGCAATCCATCACATTCGAGTACGTTCTGTTCCCGTCCATTCAATTCTGGTCTATTCCATTCAATTCCATTCCCTTTGATTCCATTCCATTCTTGTACATTCCATTGGATTCCATCTTATTGAAATAAGTTCTATTCGAAACCATTTCTTCGAGTCCAATCAATTTGAGTCCATTCCATTCGAGTCCATTACATCTGGGTCTATTCCATTCCATCCCATTCCATTCGATGCCATTCAATTTGATTCTTTTCCATCCGGCTCCATTCCTTTCCATTCAGTTCCATCGGATTCCATTCAATTCTATTCCTTTCCATTTCATTGCATTCCATTCCATTCCACTGGAGACCATTCCACTTCAGTGCATTCCATTCCAGTGTATTCCATTCCATTCCATTCCATTCCATTCGATATCTTTCCATTACACTCCATTCCTTGTATTCCTTTAAAGTCCATTCAATTCCATTCTATTCTATTCCATTCAATTCAATTCCATTACATTCGACTCAATTTCTTTCAAATCCATTGCAATCCATTCCATTCCATTTCTTTATGTTCTATTCCATTCCGTTCGATTCCATTTTTTTCCAGTCCATTCCATTCGAGTCCATTGCATTCCAGTGCAATTCATTTGATTCCACTCCATTCGATTCCATTCCACTCAATTCCACTCCGTTCCATTCCTTTGCGTTCCTTTCTATTCCATTCCATTGCATTCCATTCCATTCCATTCCATTCCATTTGTTTACATTCCATTGTATTCCATTCCAGTTGAATCAATTACATTGCAGTCCATTACATTCGAGTCTGTTCTATCCCAGTTCATTCGATTCTGGTGCATTCCATTCGATTCCTTTCCATTCGATACCATTCCATACTATTGCATTCCATTCGATTCCATTGTTTTCGAATAAATTCCAATCGAGACAATTCCTTTCGTGTCCATTCTATTTGACTCCATTCCATTTGAGTCCAATAAATTTGTGAACATTCTATTCCTTTCCATTCCATTCCATTCCATTCCATTCGGTGCCATTCCATTCCACCCTATTCCATTCAAGTCCATTCCATTTGAGTCCATTCCATTCCATGCAATGCCATTACATTCAATTCTATTCCATTCGACTCCATTCCATTCCATTCCCCTCCAAACGATTCCATTCCATTCTATTACTTTCTATTCCAATCCATTCCATTCCGTTCCATTCGTTTCCATTCCATTCGAGTCCACTCCAGTCCAGTCCATTCCATTCCAGTCCATACCATTCAAGTCCATTCCACTCCATTCCATTCCATTCGATATCTTTCAATAACACCCCATTCCATTCTGTTCCTTACAATTCAATTCAATTCCATTCCATTTGATTCCATTCCATTCGATTACATTCCATTCGACTCCATTCCATTCGACTCTATTCCATTCAAGTCCATTCCATTCCATTGCATTCCGTTCGAATCCCTATTCCATTCCATTTTGTAACAGTCCATTCCACTTGAGTCCATTCCATGACAATCCATTCCATTCGATTCCATTCCAATCAATTCCATTGCACTCGAATCCAGTGTGTTCCATTCCATTGCTTTCCATTCTATTACATTCCATTGCATTCCATTCCATTCCTTTTGATTACATTCCATTCGATTCCATTAATTTCGAATCAATTACATTGCAATCCATTGCTTTTGAGTTCTATTCCAGTCCATTCCAATCCGGCCCATTCCGTTCCATTCCATTCCATTCGATTCCATTCCATTCGAATTGATTGCATTGCAATGCTTTATATTCGAGTCCGTTTTATTCCAGTCCAATCCATTCCGGTCCATTCCGTTCGATTCCATTCCATTCGATGCCACTCCATACTATTGTATTTCATTCGATTCCATTCTATTCAAATAAATTCCATTCGAGACCATTCCTTTCGAGTCCATTCTATGTGAGTCCATTCCATTTGAGTCCATTCTATTTGGGTCCATTCCATTCAATTCCATTGCAATCCATTCCATTCGATGTCACTCCATTCATTTCTATTCCATTAGAGTCCATGTCTTTCGAGTCCATGCCATTTTATTCCATTCCACTCCATTCCATTCCATTCCACTCCATTCCATTCGTTGCCGTTCCATTCAATTCTATTATATTCCACTCCATTTAAATCCATTCCATTCCATTCCATTCCATTCCATTCTATCCAATTCCATTCCATTCTATTCCTTTAAAGTCCATTCTATTCCATTCCATTCATTTCCATTCAATTCGAGTAAAGTCCACTCCAGTCCTTTCCATTCGAGTCCATTCCTCTCCAGTCCATTCCGTTCAATCCATTCTATTCCAGTCCATTCCATTCGAGTCCGTTCCATTCCAATCCATTCCATTCGAGTCAATTCCATTCCATTTGATATCTTTCCATAACGATCCATTCCATTCTATTCCTTTCGATTCCATTCAATTCCATTCCATTCTATTTCATTCCATTCGATTCCCTTCCATTGGACTCCTTTCCATTCGAGTGCATTCCATTCCTTTCCATTTCTTTCCGTTCTGTACGATTCCTACCGTTCGATTTCATTTTGTTCCAGTCCATTCCTTTCGCGTCCATTCCATTCCATTTCACTCCATTCGATTCGATTCCATTCCATTCCATTCCACTCCATTCCACTTCGTTCCGTTTCATTGCATTCCATGCTATTCAATTCTATTGCATTCCATTCCATTCCATTCGATTACATTCCATGCGATTCCATTCGAAATCGAATCAATTACATTGCAATCCATTACTATTGAGTCCGTTTTATTCCAGTCCACTGCATTCTGGTCCATTCCATTTGATTCCATTCCATTCTATTCCATTCCATACAGTTGCATTCCATTGGATTCCATTCTATATCTATAAATTAATTCGAGACCATTGCTTTTGAGTCCATTCTATATGATTCCATTCCATTCAAGTCCATTACATTTGGTTCAATTCCATTCCATTCCATTCCCTTCCATTCCATTCCATTTGATATCAATCCATTCGATTCCATTCCATTCGAGCACATTCCTTTCGAGTCCATTCCATTCGATGCCATTCCATTTGATTCTATTCCATTAGTCTCCATTCAATTCCATTAATCTCCATTCCATTCCATTCTATTCCAACTGATTCTATTCCATTCTATTCCTTTCCATTCCATTTCATTCCATTTCATTCCATTTCATTCCATTCCATTCCATTCGCTTCCATTCCATTCGTGTCCATTCCACTCCAGTCCTTTACATTCGTGTCCATTCCATTCCAGTCCATTTCATTTGTGTCCACTGCATTCCATTCCACTCCATTCCATATTATTCCATTACACTCCATTCCATTCTATTACTTTCATTTCCATTCAATTCCATTCCATTTGATTCCATTCCACTCGGTTGCATTCCATTTGAGTCCATTCCATTTGAGTCCATTTCATTCCATTCCATTCCATTCAGTTCCATTCCATTCTGTTCCATTCCATTCCATTCCATTCCATTCCATTCTGTTCCATTCCATTCCATTCCATTCCATTCCATTCCATTCGGTAGCATTCCTTATTGTTCCATTCGATTCCATTCGAATCCATTCCATTCTAGTCCATTCCATTCGATTCCATTCCATTCCTTTCAATTCCATTCCATTCCATTCCATTCCGCTTGATTCCACTCCATTCCCTTCCACTGCATTCCATTCGATTCCATTCCATTGCATTGCATTCCATTCCATTGGATTGCATTCCATTCGATTCCATTCCATTCGAATCAATTACATAGCAATCCATTACATTCGAGTCTATTCTATTCCGTTCCATTCGATTTCTTTCCAATCTATTCGATTCCATTCCATACTATTGCATTCCATTCGATTAAATTATATTCGAATAAGTTCCATTCAAAGCCATTTCTTTTGAGTCCATTCTATTTGAGTCCATTCCCTTTGATTCCATAACATTTGAGTCCATTCAATTCCATTCCTTTCGTTTCCATTCCATTTGATGCCATTCCATTCAATTCTGTTCTACTCGACTCCAATACATTCAATTCCATTCCATCCGATTCCATTACATTCTTTTCATTTCTTATCCATTTCAAGCCATTCCATTCCATTCCATTCTACTCGTTTCCTTTCCATTCGAGTCCATTCCACTCCAGTCCATTCCATTCAAATAAATTTCACTCCAGTCCATTAAATTCGAGTACGTTCCATTCCATTCTATTCAATGCCATTCCATTCAATTCTATTCCATTCGACACCATTCCTTTCCATTCCATTCCATGCGATTCCATTCCATTGTATTCCATTCAATTCCATTCCATTGCATTCCATTCCATTCCATTCGTTTCCATTCCATTCAAATTCATTCCACTCAAGTCCATTCCATTCGAGTCCATTCCATTCCAGTCCATTCCAATAGAGTCCATTGCTTTCCATTCCATTTGATATCTTCCCATTACAGTCCATTCCATTCTATTCCTTTGGTTCCCATTCAATTCAATTCCATTTGATTACATTTCATTCGATTCCATTCCATTCGACTCCATTCCATTCGAGTCCATTCCATTCCAGTCCATTCCATTCGATTCCATTCCATTCGATTCCATTCCACTCATTTCCACTCCGTTGCATTCCATTGCATTCCATTCTATTCCATTCCATTGCATTCCATTCCATTCCATTGGATTACATTCCATTCGATTCCATTCCATTCGAATCAATTACATTGCAATGCATTACATTCATGCCCTTTCTATTAAAGTCCAATGCATTATGGTCCATTCCATTCAATTCCATTCTATTCCATTCCATTCGAATCAATTACATTGCAATCCATCACATTCGAGTACGTTCTGTTCCAGTCCATTCCATTCTGGTCTATACCATTCAATTCCATTCCCTTTGATTCCATTCCATTCTTGTGCATTCCATTGGATTCCATCTTATTGAAATAAGTTCTATTCGAGACCATTTCTTCGAGTCCAATCAATTTGAGTCTATTCCATTCGAGTCCATTACATCTGCGTGTATTCCATTCCATCCCATTCCATTCGATGCCATTCAATTTGATTCATTTCCATTAGGCTCCATTCCTTTCCATTCAGTTCCATCGGATTCCATTCCATTCTATTCCTTTCCATTTCATTGCATTCCATTCCATTCCACTGGAGACCATTCCACTTCAGTGCATTCCATTCCAGTGTATTCCATTCCATTCCACTGGAGACCATTCCACTTCAGTGTATTCCATTCCAGTGTATTCCATTCCTTTCCATTCCATTCCATTCGATATCTTTCCATTACACTCCATTCCATTGTATTCCTTTACAGTCCATTCAATTCCACTCTATTCAATTCCATTCAATTCAATTCCATTACATTCAACTCCATTTCATTTGAGTCCATTGCAATCCATTCCATTCCATTTCTTTATGTTCTATTCCATTCCCTTCGATTCCATTTTGTTCCAGTCCATTCCATTCGAGTCCATTGCATTCCAGTGCAATTCATTTGATTCCACTCCATTCGATTCCATTCCACTCAATTCCACTCCGTTCCATTCCTTTGCGTTCCTTTCTATTCCATTCCATTCAATTCCATTCCGTTCCATTCCATTCCATTCCATTCCATTCCATTCCATTTGTTTACATTCCATTGAATTCCAATCCAGCTGAATCAATTACATTGCAGTCCATTACATTCGAGTCTGTTCTATCACAGTTCATTCGATTCTGGTGCATTCCATTCGATTCCATTCCATTCGATACCATTCCATACTATTGCATTCCATTCGATTCCATTGTTTTTGAATAATTTCCAATCGAGACCATTCCTTTCGTGTCCATTCTATTTGACTCCATTCCATTTGAGTCCATTAAATTTGTGCACATTCCATTCCTTTCCATTCCATTCCATTCGGTGCCATTCCATTCCACTCTATTCCATTCAAGTCCATTCCATTTGAGTCCATTCCATTCCATTCGATGCCATTACATTCAACCCTATTCCATTCGACTGCATTCCATTCCATTCCCTTCCAAATGATTCCATTCCATTCTATTACTTTCTATTCCAATCCATTCCATTCTGTTCCATTCGTTTCCATTCCATTCGAGTCCACTCCACTCCAGTCCATTCCATTCGAGTCCATTCCATTCCAGTCCATTCCATTCAAGTCCATTCCACTCCATTCCATTCCATTCGATATCTTTCAATAACACCCCATTCCATTCTGTTCCTTACAATTCAATTCAATTCCAATCCTTTTGATTCCATTCCATTCGACTCCATTCCATTCGACTCTATTCCATTCAAGTCCATTGCATTCCATTCCATTGCATTCCGTTGGAATCCCTATTCCATTCCATTTTGTTCCAGTCCATTCCATTTGAGTCCATTCCATGCCAATCCATTCCATTCGATTCCATTCCAATCGATTCCATTGCACTCGAATCCAGTGTCTTCCATTCCATTGCTTTCCATTCTATTACATTCCATTGCATTACATTCCATTCCATTTGATTACATTCCTTTCGATTCCATTAATTTCGAATCAATTACATTGGAATCCATTGCATTCGAGTTCTATTCCAGTCCATTCCTGTCCGGCCCATTCCGTTCCATTCCATTCCATTCGATTCCATTCCATTCAAATCTATTGCATTGCAATGCATTACATTCGAGTCCGTTTTATTCCAGTCCAATCCATTCCGGTCCATTCCGTTCGATTCCATTCCATTCGATGCCACTCCATACTATTGTATTTCATTCGATTCCATTCTATTCAAATAAATTCCATTCGAGACCATTCCTTTCGAGTCCATTCCATTCGAGTCCATTCTATTTGGGTCCATTCCATTCAATTCCATTGCAATCCATTCCATTCGATGTCACTCCATTCATTTGTATTCCATTAGAGTCCATGTCATTCGAGTCCATTCCATTCTATTCCATTCCACTCCATTCCATTCGCTGCCATTCCATTCAATTCTATTCCATTCCACTCCATTTAATTCTATTCCATTCCATTCCATCCTATCCAATTCCGTTCCATTCTATTCCTTTAAAGTCCATTCCATTCCATTCGTTTCCATTCCATTCGAGTAAAGTCCTCTCCAGTCCTTTCCATTCGAGTCCATTCCACTCTAGTCCATTCTGTTCAATCCATTCCATTCCGAGTACATTCTATTTGAGTCCATGCCTTTTGAATCCATTATATTTGGATCCATTCCATTCCGTTCCATTCCATTCCATTCCATTCCATTACTTTCGATGCCATTCTATTGCATTCTATTCCACTCGAGTTCATTCAATTCGAGCCCATTCCATGCCATTCCATTCCATTCTTTTCGCTGCCATTCCTTTCGATACTATTCCATTAGACTCCATTGCATTCCATTCTGTTCCATCCGATTCCATTCCATTCTATTTCATTCCATTCCATTCCATTCCATTCAATTCCATTCCATCCCATTCCTTTTCAGTCCTTTTCAGTCCATTCCACTAAAGTCCTTTCCATTCGATTATTTTCTATTCCAGTCCTTTGCATTCGATTATATTCCATTCCATTCGATATCTTTCCGTTACACTCCATTCCATTCTATTCCTTTCGTTTCCTTTCAGTTCTATTCCATTCGATTCCATTCCATTTGACTCCATTCCTTTCGAGTCTATTCCATTCAATTCTATTCAATTCCCTTCTGTCCTATTCAAATCTGTACTAATCCATTTTATTCCAGTCCATTCCACTGGAGTCCATTCCATTCCAGTCCATTCCCTTCGATTCCATTCCACTCAACTGTCTTCCATTCCATTGTATTCCATTTTATTCCATTCCATTGCTTTGCATTCCATTCCATTTGATTCCCTTCTATTCCATTCCATTCGAAATAATTACGTTTTAATTTTTACATTCGATTCCGTTCTGCTCCAGTCCATTCCATTCCTGTCCATTCCATTCAACTCCATTCCATTGGATTCCATTCCATACTATTGCATTCCATTTTGTTACATTCTATTCGAGTTAACTCCATTCGAGGCTATTCCTTTTGAGTCCATTATGTTTGAGTCCATTCCATTCTATTCCATTTCATTTGGATCCATTCCAATCCATTCCATTCCGTTAAATTCCATTCCATTCCATTCGATGCTATTCCATTTGATTTTATTCCTTTCGAGTCCATTCCATTCCATTCCTTTCGATTTTATTACATTCGGTTCCATTTTATTCCATTCCATTCTATCTAATTCCATTCCATTCTATTCCTTTCCATTCCATTCCTTTCTATCTGATTCCATTCCATACCATTCGAGTCCATTCCATTCCAGTCCATTCCATTTGATTCCATTCCATTCCATTCCATTTGATATTTCTCCGTTACCGTCCATTCCATTCTGTTCCTTTTGATTCCATTCAATTCCATTCCATTCTACTCCATTCCATTCATTTCCATTCCATTCCATTCCATTCTGTTCCATTCGATTCCAATCCATTCGATACCATTTTTTTCCACTCCATTCCATTTGAGTCTATTCCATTCCAGTACATTCCATTAGATTCCATTCCATTCAATTCCATTCCATTCCATTGCACTCAATTCCACTCCGTTCCATACCATTGCATTCCAATTTATTCCATTACATTTCATTCCTTTGCATTCCTTTTGATTACATTCCTTTTGATTCCATTCAATTCAAATCAATTACATTGCATTCCATAACTTTCTATTCGGTTCTATTCCAGTCCTGTCCATTCCAGTCCATTCCATTCGATTCCACTCCTTTTGATTCCATTCCCTACTATTGCATTCCATTCAATACCATTCTATTCATATAAATTCCATTTGAGACCATTCATTTCGAGTCCATTCTATTTGAGTCCATTCCATTCGAGTCCATTATATTTGGGTCCATTCCATTCCATTCCATTCCATTCCATTCCATTCCATTTGATGCCATTCATTTGGACTCTATTTCTTTCGAGTCCATTCCATTCGAGTCCATTCCATTCAATTCCATTCTTTCATGGCCATTGCATTTGATGCTGTTCCATTTGACTCCATTGCATTCCATTCCGTTTCATGTGATTCCATTCCATTCTACTCGTTCCATTCCATTCATTTCCATTCCATTGGAATCCATTCCACTCCAGTCCATTCCATTCGTGTCCATTGCTTTTGAGTCTATTCCATTCAAGTCCGTTCATTTCCATTCCATTCCATTCCATTCGATATCTTTCCATTACACCCCATTCCATTATGTTCGTTTTGGTTCCATTCAATATCATTCTATTGGATTCCACTCCATTTTACTCCCTTCCATTCGATTTCATTCTTTTCGATCCCATTATTTTGGACTCCATTCCTTTCGATTTCATTCTTTTTGATTTCATTCTTTTCGTCTCTATTCCATTCGACTCCATTCCATTCGAGTCCATTCCTTTCCATTCCATTTCATTGCATTCCATTCCATTCCGTTCCATTCGATTCCAATCCGTTTGATACCATTTTGTTCCAGTCCATTCCATTCGAGTCCATTCCATTCCAGTCCATTCCATTCACTTCCATTGCATTCGAGTCCATTCCACTCCAGTCCATTCCTGTCGAGTCCATTCCATTCCATTCCATGCGATAGTTTTCCATTACACTCCATTCCATTCTTTTCCTTTCAATTCTGTTCAATTCCATTCCATTCGATTCCATTGCAATCGATTGCACTCCATTTGACAGCATTCCATTCGAGTCCATTCCACTCCAGTCCATTCCAGTCGAGTCCATTCCATTCCAATCCATTCCCTTCAAGTCCATATCATTCCATTGCATTCCATTCGATAGCATTCCATTACACTCCATTCCATTCTATTCTTTTCAATTCCATTCAATTCCATTGCTTTCGATTCCATTCCATTTGATTCCACTCCATTTGACTCCATTCCATTCGAGTCCATTCCAATTGATTCCATTCCATTCCATTCCATTCCATTCCATTCCATTCCATTCCGTTCAATTCCAATCCGTTGAATTCCATTTTTTCCAGTCCATTCCTTTCGATTCCATTCTATTCGATTCCATTCTTCTCGATTCCAGTCCGTTCCATTTCATTGCATTCCATTCTATTCCATTCCCATGCAGTCCATTCCCTTCCATTTGATTTCTTTCCATTTAATTCCACTCCTTTCGAATCAATTACATTGCAATCCATTACATTGGAGTCCATTCCATTCCTGTCCATTCCATTCCAGTCCATTTCATTCGATTCCATTCCATACAATTGCATTCCGTTCACATCCATTCTATTTGAATAAATTCCATTCGAGACCATTCCTTTCTTGTCCATTGTAGTATAATCCATTCCATTGGAGTCCATTACATTTTGGTTCACTCCATTCCATTCCATTCCATTCCATTCCATGCCATTCCAAATGATTCTATTCCATACGAGTCCATTCCTTTCTTTTCCGTTCCATTCCATTGCATTCCTTTACAATACATTCGATGCCATTTAATTCCATTCTATTCAATTCGACTCCATTCCATTCCATTCCGTTCCCTCCGATTGCATTCCATTCTATTCCATTCCATTCCATTCCATTCCATTCCATTCCATTCCATTCCATTCCATTCCATTCTTTTCCATTCCATTCGAGTCCCTTCCATTTTATTCCATTCCTTTTGATATCTTTCCATTACACCCAATTCCATTCTATTCCTTTCAATTTCATTCAATTCCATTCCATTTGATTCAATTCCATTCGGTTCCATTCCATTCCATTCTACTTCATTTGATTCGTGTCCATTCCATTCCAGTCCATCCCTTTACTTTCCATTTGATTCCAATCCATTCGATTCCATTTTGTTCCAGTCCATTCCATTGCAGTCCATTCCACTCCATTCCATTCCATTTGATTGCATTCCATTCGACTCCATTCCATTCAATTCCATTCCACTTGATTCCACTCCGTTCCTTTCCATTGCATTCCATTTTATTCCATTTCATTGCTTAACATTCCATTCAATTTGATAACTTTCCATTCGTTTCCATTCCATTCAAATCACATAAATTGCAATCCAATGCATTCGAGTCCATTCTATTCCAGTCCATTTCTTTCCTGTCCATTCCATTCGATTCTTTTCTTTTCGATTCTATTCCATACGATGGCATTCCATTCGATTCCATTCTATTCGAATAAATTCCATTCGATACCATTCCTTTCGAGTCCAATCCATTTATGTACATTCCATTCGAGTCCATTATATTTGGGTACTTTCCATTCCATTGCATTCCATTGCATTCCATTTCATGCAATGTCATTCCATTCGATTCTATTCCATTCTTCTCTATTCCATTCCAGTTCGTTTCATCCAATTCCATTCCATTCTACTCCTTTCCATTCCATTGATTCTATTACATTCGTTTCCATTCTTTTTGAGTCCATTCCATTCAGGTCCATTCCTTTCCATTCCATTCGATGCCATTCCAATCGATTCTATTTCATTAGACTCCATTCCATTCCATTCCATTCCATCCAATTCCTTTCCATTCTATTCCTTTCCATTTCATTTCATTCCATTCCATTCCATTCCAGTCCATTCCATTCGAGTCCCTTCCATTGCATTCCATTCCATTCGATATATTTACATTACACCCAATTCCATTCTATACCTTTCGATTCCATTAATTCCATTCCATTCGAATCCATTCCATTTGGTTCCATTCCATTCGACTCCATTCGTTTCGAGTCCATTCCATTCCATTTGGTTCCATTCCATTCGACTCCATTCGTTTCGAGTCCATTCCATTCCATTCAATCCCATTCCATTCCAATCCATTCCATTCGGTTCCATTCCATTTGACTCCTTTCCATTCGAGTCCATTCCATTCCATTCAATCCCATTCCATACCATTCGATTCCAATCCGTTTGATTCCATTTTGTTCCAGTCCATTCCATTCGAGTCCATTCCATTCCATACCATTCGATGCCATTCAATGCGATTCTATTCCATTTGACTCCATTCCATTCCATTCAGTTCCATCCCATTCAGTTCCATCCCATTGCATTCCATTCTATTCCTTTGCATTAAATTCCATTCCATTCCATTCAATTCGTTTCCATTCCTTTTGTGTCCATTCCACTTCAGTACATTCCAATCGAGTCCATTCCATTCCCGTCCATTCCATTCGGTTCCATTCCATTCGATTCCATTCTATAGTTTTCATTCCATTCGATTCCATTCTGTTCGAATAAATTCCCTTTGAGACCATTCCCCTCGAGTCCATTCTATTTGGGTCCCTTCCATTCAAGTCCATTACATTTGGGTCCATTCCATTCCATTCCATTTCCTGTGATTCCAGTCCGTTCAATTCCATTTTTTTCAAGTACATTCAATTCTAGTTCATTCCATTCCTGTGCATTAGATGCCCTTCCAATCGATTCTATTCCATTTGACTCCATTCCATTCCATTCCGTTTCAACCGATTCCATTTCATTCTATTCCTTTCCATTTCATTCCATTCCATTCCATTCCTTTCCATTCCATTCGCTTCCATTGCATTTGATTCCATTCCCCTCCAGTCCATTCCATCCGAGTCCATTCCTAAGCATTCCATTTCTTTCGAGTCCATTCCATTCCATTCTATTCGATATTTTTCCATTACACATTATTCCATTCTATTCCTTTCTATTCCATTCAATTCCATTCGTTTCGATTCCACTGCAATCGATTCCATTCCATTTGACACCATTCCATTCGAGTCCATTCCACTCCAGTCCATTCCATTCGAGTCCATTCCATTCCAGTCCATTACATTCGAGTCCATTCCATTCCATTCCATTCCATTCAATACCTTTCCATTCCATTCCATTCCATTCCATTCTATTCCTTTGGATTCCATTCAATTACATTCCATTCAATTCCATTCCATTCTATTCCATTCCATTTGACTCCAATTCACGTCCATTCGAATCCATTCCATTCCATTCCATTCCATTCCAATCCGTTCAATGCCATTTTGTTCCATTCCATTCCCTTCGATTGCATTCCATTCAATTACATTCTACTCGATTCCACTCTGGTCCATTCTATTGCATTCCATTCTATTCCATTCCATTGCATTCTATTCAATTCTTTTTATTACATTCCATTCTATTCCAATCCATTAGTATCAATTACATTGCAATCCATTACATTGGAGTCTGTTCTATTCCATTACGTTCCATTCCGGTCCATTCCATTCGATTCCATTCCATTCGATTCCATTCCACTAGATTCTTTTCCATTCCATATTATTTCATTCCATTATATTCCATTCTGTTGAATTCCATTCCATTCCATTTGATTACATTCCATTTGATTACATTCCATTCAAATCAATTACATTGACATCCATTACATTCGGGTTCATTCTATTCCAGTCAATTCCATTCTGGTCCATTCCATACGATTCCATGCCATTCAATTACATTCCATACTATTGCATTCCATTCGATTCCATTCTATTCGAATAAATTCCATTCGAGACCATTCCTTTCAAGTCCATTCTAATGGAGTCCATTCCACTCGAGTCCATTTCTTTTGGGTCCATTCCTTTCCATTCCATTTCATTCCATTCCTTTCCATTCGGTGCCATTCCCCTCCATTCAATACCATTTGAGTCCATTCCTTTCGTGTACATTCCATTCCATTCCATGGCATTCCACACAATTCTATTCCATTCGAGTCATTCCTTTCTATTCCATTACATCCAATTCCATTCCAGTCTATTCATTTCCATTCCATTCCATTAGTTTCCATTCCACTCGAATCTATTCCACTCCAGTACATTCCATTCGAGTTCACTCCATTCCAGTCTATTCCATTCGAGTCCATTCTGTTCCATTCCATTCGATGCCAATTCGTTTGAAAGCATTTTGTTCCAGTACATTCCCTTCGAGTCCTTTTCATTCCAGTCCATTCCATGCAATTCCATTTCATTCGATTGCATTCCATTCGATTCCATTCTGCTCAATTCCACTCCATTCCATTCCTTTGCCTTCCATTCTATTCCATTCCTTTGCATTCCGTTCCATTCCATTCGACTGCATTCCATTCAATTCAATTACATTTCAATCCATTACACCCAAGTCCGTTCTATTCCAGTCCATTCCATTGCAGTCCATTCCATTCAATTCCATTCCATTCAATTCCAATCCACACTATTGCATTCCATTCGATTGCATCCTGTTCGAATAAATTCCATTTGAGACTATTCCTTTCGAGTCCATTCTATTTGAGTCCATTCCTTTTGAGTCCATTACATATGGGTCCATTCCGTTCCATTCCATTCCATTCGATTTCACTTCATTGCATTGCATTCCATTCCATTAGATTACATTACTTTTGATTACATTCAATTCTAATCAATTACATTGCAGTCCATTACATTCGAGTCCGTTCTCTTCCAGTACATTCCATTCCAGTCCATTCCATTCAATTCCATTCCATTCAATTCCCTTCCATAATATGGCATTCCATTTGATTACATTCTATACGAATACATTTCATTCGAGACCATTCCATTCGAGTCCATTCTATTTGAGTCCTTTTCATGTGTGTCCATTCCATTTGGGTCCATTCCATTCCATTTCATGCTAATCCGTTCGATTCTATTCCATTCGACTCCATTTCATTCCATTCTGTTCCATCTGATTCCATTCCTTTCGATTCCTTTAAATTCCATTCCATTCCATTCGTGTCAGTTCCACTCTTGTCCATTCCATTCGAGTCCATTCCATTCCAGTCCATTCCGTTCGAGTCCATTCCGTTCCATTCCCTTCAATATCTTTCCATTACACTCCATTCCCTTCCATTCCTTTCGATGCCATTGCATTCTATTCTACCCCATTCGAGTCCATTCTATTCAAGTCCATTCCATTCGATACCATTCCATTCGATTCTATTCCATTCGACTCGTTTCTTTATATTCTGTTCCATCAAATTTCGTTCCATTCTATTCAATTCTATTCCATTCCTTTCCATTCCATTCCATTCCATTCCATTCCATTCCATTCGTGTCCATTCCGTTCTTCTCCATTCCACTCCAGTCCTATCCATTCGAGTCCATTCCATTCCATGCCATTCCATTCCATTCCATTTGATACCATTCCATTCCATTCTATTGCATTCGATATCATTCCATTACGTTCCATTCCATTCTATTCCTTTCGATTCCTTTCAATTCCATTCCATTAGATTCCATTCTATTCGGTACCATTCCATTTGACTTCATTCCATTCGAGTCCATTCCATTCAATTCCGTTCCATTGGATTCCAATCCGCTCAATTCCATTTTTTTCCAGTCCATTCCATTCCAGTCCATTCTATTCGACTCCATTACTTTTGATTCCATTCCATTCGATTCCATTCCATTCGAATCCATTCCGTTCGAGTCCATTCCATTCCATTCCATTCCATTCCATTCCGTTCCATCCGATTCCAATCTGTTCCATTGCATTTTGTTCCAGTCCATTCCATTTTAGTCTATTCCATTGCAGTCCATTCGATTCGATTCCATTACATTCGATTCCATTACATTCCATTCAATTCCATTTCACTTGATTCCACTCCATTGCATCCCATTGCTTTCCATTCTATTCCATTACATTGCATTCCATTCCATTCCATTTGATTACATTCCATTCAATTCCTTTCCATTCGAATCAATTACATTGCAATCTATTGCATTCGAGTCCTTTCTATTCCAGTCCGTTCCATTCCGGTCCATTCCATTCTTTTTCATTCCATTCGATTGCATTCCATTCGAATCACTTATTTTGCAATCCCTTACATTCAAGTCCGTTCTATTCCAGGCATTACATTCTGGTCCATTCCATTCAATTTCATTCCATTCTATTGCATTCCATTCGATTCCATTCTATTCGAATAAATTCCATTAGAGACCATTTCTTTCGAATCCATTCTATTTGAGTCCATTCCATTCGAGTCCATTACATTTGGGTCTATTCCATTCCGTTCCATTCCTTTCCAATCCATTCAATGTCATTCCATGTGATTCTATTCCATTAGACTCCTTTCAACTTCATTCCATTCCATCCGATTCCATTCCATTCTATTCCTTTCCATTCCATTCCATTCCATTCGTTTACAATCCATTTGAGCCCATTCAACTCCAGTGCCTTTCATTTGAGTCCATTCCATTGCATTGCATTCCATTCCACTCCATTCCATTCCATTCCAATTGATTCGATTCCCTTCCACTCAATTCCACTCCATTCCATTCCATTGCATTCCATTCTATTCCATTCCATTCCATTCATTTCCATTCCATTTGATTACATTCGATTCAAGTCCATTCTATTCGAATCTGTTACTTTGCAATCTATTATATTTGAGTCCGTTCTAATCCAGTCAATTCCATTCTGGTACGTTCCTTTTGATTGCATTCCATTCGAATACATTCCAGACTATTGCATTCCATTCGATTCCATTGTATTAGAATAAATTGCGTTCGAGACCATACCTTTTGAGTCCATTCTTTTTCAGCCCATTCCATTCAATTCCGTTACATTTGGGTCCATTTCATTCCATTCCATTGCATTTGATGCTATTCCATTCGAACCTATTCCCTTCGGGTATATTCCATTCCATTCCTTTCTATTCCATTCCCTTCGATGCCATTCCATTCTATTCTATTCAGTTCGACTCCATTCGATTCCATTCCATTCTAACCGATTTCAATCCATTCTTTTCCTTTCTCTTTCATTCCATTCCTTTCCATTCCATTCCTTTCCATTTCATTCGAGTCCATTCCACTCTAGTCCTTTCCCTTCGAGTCCATTCCATTCCAGTCATTCCATTCGAGTCCATTCAATTCCATTCCATTCCATTCGATACCTTTCCATTACAATCCATTACATTCAAAGGCATTCGATTCCATTCAGTTCCATTCCATTTGATTCCATTCCACTCGATTCCATTCCGTTTGACTCCATTCCATTCGAGTCCATTGCATTCCATTCCATTCCGTTCCGTTCGATTCCAATCCGTTCGATTCCATTTTGTTCCAGTCCATTCCATTCGAGTCCATTCCATTGCATTCCATTCGATGCCATTCCATTCAATTCTATTCCATTTGACTTTATTCCCTTCCATTCCATTCCATAGGATTCCATTGCATTCTAAACCTTTCCAACTGATTCCATTGAATTCCATTCCATTCCAGTCATTTCCATTCCTTTCGTGTCCATTGCACTCCAGTCCATTCCATTCGGGTCCATTCCATTCCACTCCATTCCCTTCGAGTCCATTCAATTCTATTGCATTCCATTTGATATCTTTCCATTACACACCATTCCATTCTATTCCTTTTGATTCTATTCCATTTCATTCCATTCCATTACATTCCATTCGATTCCATTCCATTCAACTCCATTCCATTCGAGTGCATTCCATTCCATTCCATTCCGTTCCATTCGATTCCAATCCGTTCGAGTCCATTTTTCCTGTTCATTCCATTCGACTCCATTCATTCGATTCAATTCCACTCGATTCCACTCCGTTCCATTCCAGTGCATTAAATTCCATTCCATTTGATTACATTCCATTCAATTCCATTCCATTCGAAACAATTACATTGCAATCCATTACATTCGAGTCCGTTCTATTCCAGTCCATTCCATTTCTTTCCACTCTATTCGATTCCATTCCATTCGATACCCTACCGAAATATTACATTCCTCTTGATTCCATTCTATTCGCATAAATTCCATCCGACAGCATTACTTTTGAGTTCATTCTGTTTGAGTCCATTGTATTTGAGTCCATTCCATTCGAGTCCATGACATTTGGGTCCATTCCATTCCATTCCATTCCATTTGATGCGATTCCATTCGATTCTATTCCATTCGAGTCCATTCCATTCGAGTCCATTCCATGCCATTCTATTCGATACCATTTCATTCGATTCTATTCCATTCAACTCCATTCCATTCCTTTCCGTTCCAACCGATTACATTACATTCTTTTCCTTTCCATTCCATTCCATTCCATTTCATTAAATTCCATTCCATTCCGTTCGAGTTCATTCCTCTCCAGTCTTTTCCTTTTGAGTCCATTCCATTCCAGTCCATTCCTATCGAGTCCATTCCATTCCATTCCATTCCATTCCATTCCATTCCATTCCATTCCATTCTATTCTGTATTTTTCCATTAAACTCCATTCCATTCTATTCCTGTCGATTGCATTCAATTCCATTCCATTCGATTCCCGTCCATTTGATTCCATTCCATTCAACTCCATTCCATTCAAGTCCACTCCATTCCATTCCATTCAATTCCATTCCATTCGATTCCAATCCATTCAATCCATTTTGTTATAGTCGTTTCCAATAGAGTCCATTCCATTCCAGTCCATTCCATTCGATTCCTTTCCATTCGATTCCATTCCATTATATTCTGTTCCATCCGATTTCATTGCACTCTATTCCCTTCCCGTCCATTCCATTCTATTCCATTCCATTCAATGCCATTCTATTCTATTCTATTCTATTCCTTTTGAGTCCATTCCATTCGAGTCCATACCATTTCAATCCATTCCATTCCCTTCCATTCGATGCCATTCCATTCGATTCTACTCCATTTGATTCCATTCCATTCCATTCTGTTCCATCTGATTCCTTTGCATTCTAATCCCTTCCCTTCCATTGCCTTCTATTCCATTCCATTCGATGCCATTCAATTCTATTCTATTCCTTTTGAGTCCATTTCATTCGAGTCCATACCATTTCAATCCATTCCATTCCATTCCATTCGATGCCATTCCATTCAATTCTATTCTATTTGACTCAGTTAAACTCCATTCCTTTCTATCCAATGCCTTTCCTTTCTATTCCTTTCCACTGCATTCCAATCCATTCCATTCAATTCCATTCCATTCAATTCCATTCTTCTCCAGTCCATTCCTTTTGAGTCCATTCCATTGCAGTCCATTCCATTGGAGCCCATTCCATTCCATTCCATTCCATTCGATAACTTTCCATTACTCTCCTTTCCATTCTATTCCTTTCGATTCCATTCAATTCCATTCCATTCGATATCTTTCCATTACACTCCATTCCATTGTGTTCCTTTCGATTCCATTCAATTCCATTCCATTCGATTCCATTCCATGCAACTCCATGCCATTCATGTCCATTCCATTCCATTCCGTTCCATTCGATTCCAATCCGTTACTTTCCATTTTGTTACAGTCAATTCCACTCGAGTCCATTCCATTGCAGTCCATTCCATTCGAGTCCATTACATTCCATTCCATTCGATATCTTTCCATTACCCTCCATTCCATTTTATTCCTTTCGATTCCATTCAATTCCATTCCATTCGATATCTTTCCATTACACTCCATTCCATTCTATTCCTTTTGATTCCATTCAGTTCCATTCCATTCAATTCCATTCCATTTGATTCCATTCCATTCGACTCCATGCCATTCATGTCCATTCCATTCCATTCCATTCCATTGCGTTCCATTCGATTCCAATACATTACTTTCCATTTTGTTCCAGTCAATTCCACTCGAGTCCATTCCATTCTGGTCCATTCCATTTGATTCCCTTCCTTTCGATTCGATTAAATTCCATTTGATTCCATTCCACTAGATTTCACTCCATTCCATTCCATTGCATTCCATTCTGTTCCATTCCATTGCATTCCATTCCGTTCCATTTGATTTCATTCCATTCAATTCCAAGACATTCAAATAAATTACATTACAATCCATTACATTCGAGTCCATTCTATTCCAGTCCATTCCATTCTGGTCCATTCCATTTGATTCAGTTCCATTCAATACCATTTGATACTATTGCACTCCTTTGGATTCCATTCTATTTGAATAAATTCCATTCGAGACCATTCCTTTTGAGTCCATTCTATTTGAGTCCATTCCATTCGTGTCCATTACATTTGGGTCCGTTCCATTGCATTCCATTCCATTCCTTTCTATTCCATTTGATACCATTACATTCGAATCTATTCCATTAGAGTCCATTCCATTCGAATGCATTCCATTCCATTCCATTCCATTCCATGCCATTCCATTTGATTCTATTCTATTCGACTCCATTCCATTTCATTCGGTTCCATCTGATTCCACTCCATTCTTGCCCTTTCCATACCATTCCATTCCGTTGGTTTCCATTGCATTGGAGTCCATTCCACTCCAACCCATTCCATTCGAGTCCATTCCATTCCAGTACATTTCATTCGAGTCCATTCCATTCCATTCAATTCCACTTGATATCTTTCCTTTTCATTCCTTTCCATTCTTTTCATTTCGATTCCATTCAATTCCATTCCATTCGATTCCATTCCACTGTATTCCTTTCCATTCGACTCCATTCCATTCGAATCCATTCCTTTACTTCCATTCCATTCCTTTCTGTTCGACTTCATTCCGTTCGATTCCTATTTGTTGCAGTCCATTCCATTCGAGTCCATTCCATTCCAGTCCATTCAATTCGATTCCATTCCATTCGATTCCCTTCCATTCGATTCCATTCCACTCGTTTCCTCTCCATTGCATTCCATTGCATTCCATTCTATTCCATTCCATTGCATATCATTACATTTCCTATGATTACATTCCATTTGATTCCATTCAGCTCAAATCAATTGGATTGCAATCCATTACATTCGAGTCCATTCTATTCCAGTCCATTCCATTCTCGTCCATTCCTTTCGATTCCATTCCATACTATTGCATTCCATTCGATTCCACTGTATTCGAATAAATTCCATTCAAGACCATTCCTTTTTAATCCATTCTATTTGAGTCTATTACATTCAAGTCCATTACATTTGGGTCCATCCAATTCCAGTCCATACCATTCGATGTCATTCCATTCTATTCTATTCCATTTGACTCCATTCCATTCCATTAAATTCCATTCCATTCTGTTCCATTCGATTCCAATCCATTACATTCCATTTTGTTCCAATCAATTCCAATCGAGTCCATTCCATTTTATTCCATTCAATTCCACTCGAGTACATTCCATTCCAGTCCATTCCATTCGATTCCATTCCTTTCTATTCCATTCCATTCAATTCGATTAAATTCCATTTGATTCCATTCCACTCTATTCCATTCTGTTCCATTCCACTGCTTGCCATTCTATTCCATTCCTTTGCATTCCATTCCATTCCATTTGATTACATTCCATTCAATTTCAAGGCATTCGAATCAATTACATTTCCATCCATTATATTTGAGTGTTTTCTATTCCAGTCCATTCCATTCCAGTCCATTCCATTTGATTAAATTCCATTTGATTCATTTAGATACTATTACATTCCTTTCGATTCCATTCTATTTGAATAAATTCCATTCGAGACCATTCCTTTCGAGTCCATTCTATTTGACTGCATTCCATTCGTGTACATTACATTTGGGTCCGTTCCATTTCATTCCATTCCATTCCTTTCCATTCCATTCCATGCCATTACTTTCGATTCTATTCCATTAGAGTCCATTCCATTCCATTCGATGTCATTCCACACGATTCTATTCCATTCGTTTCCATTCCATTCCATTCAGTTCCATCCGATTCCATTCCATTGTAGTCCTTTCCATTCCATTCCATTCCATTCATTTCCTTTCCATTCGTGTCCATTCCACTCTAGTCCATTTCATTCGAGTCCATTCCACTCCAGTCCATTTCATTCCATTCCATTCCGTTCAATTCCATTTGATATCTTTCCATTTCACTCCATTCCATTCCATTCCATTCCATTCCATTCCATTCCATTCCATTCCATTCCATTCTATTTAATTCCATTCCATTCGACTCCATTCCATTCGTGTCCATTCCTTTTCATTCCTTTCCATTCCATTGCATCCTGTTCTACTTCAATCCGTTCTATTCCATTTTCTTCCAGTCCATTCCATTCGATTCCATTCCATTCGAGTCCATTCCATTCCAGTCCATTCGATTCGATTCCATTCCATTCGATTCCCTTCCTTTCGATTCCTTTCCACTCAATTCCACTCCGTTCCTTTCCACTGAATTCCATTCCATTCCATTCCATTGCATACCATTGCATTCCGTATGATTTCATTCCATTTGATTCCATACAACTCAAATCAATTGGATTGCAATCCATTACAATCGAAACCATTTTATTCCAGTCCATTCCATTCTGGTCCATTCCATTTAATTCCATTCCATACTATTGCATTCCATTTGATTGCACTGTATTTGATTAAATTCCATTAGAGACCATTCCTTTTTAATAAATTATATTTGAGTCTATTGTATTCGAGTTCAATACATTTGGGTCCATCCAATTCCATTCCATTCCATTCGATGCCATTGCATTCGATTCTATTCCATTCGAGTCCATTCCATTCGATTCCATTCCGTTCCATTCCATTCCATTCGATGACATTCCTTTCGATTCCATTCTACTCCAGTCCATTCCATTCGAGTACTTTCCATTCGAGTCCTTTCCATTCGAGTCCGTTCCATTGGAATTCATTCCATTCCATTCCATTGCTTTCGATATCTTTCCACTACACTCCATCCCATTCTATTTCTTAAGATTCAATTCAATTCCATTCCTTTCAGTTTCGTTCCATTCGACTCCATTCCATTCAAGTCCATTCCATTTCATTCCATTCTTTCCGATTAAATTCCGTTCAATTCCATTTTGATCCAATCCAATCCGTTCGAGTCCATTCTATTTGTTTCCGTTCCATTCCATTCCATTCCTTTCGATGCCATTCCATTCGATTCTGTTCAAGTCCATTCCGTTTGAGTCCATTCGATTCCATTCCCATCCACTCCATTCCATTAGATGCCATTCCATTTGATTCTAATCCACTTGACTCCATTCATTCCATTCCTTTCCATCCGATTCCATTCCGTTCTATTCCTTTCCATTCCATTCCATTCCATTCCATTCCATTCCATTCCGTTCATTTCCATTGCTTTTGAGTTCTTTCCTCTCCAGTCCATTCCATTCGAGTCCATTCCATTACAATCCACTTGATTCGAGTCCATTCCATTCCATTACTTTTCATTCGATAACTTTCCTTTACACTCCATTCTTTTCTATTCATTTCGATTATATTCAATTCTATTCCATTCGATTCCATTCCATTCTACTGCGTTCCTTTCTAGTCCATTCCATTCCATTCCATTCCATTTGATATCTTTCCATTACACTCCATTCCACTCTATTCCTTTCGATTCCTTTCAGTTGCATTCCATTATAGTCCATTCCATTACAATCCACTCCATTTGATTCCATTCCATTCTGTTCCTTTTGATTCGATATCTTTCCTTTACACTCCATTCCTTTCTATTCCTTTCGGTTCTATTCAATTCCATTCCATTCAATTCCATTCCATTCAATTCCATTTCATTCGACTCCATTCCATTCGAGTCCATTCCATTCCATTCCATTCCATTCGATATCTTTCCATTCCATTCCATTCCATTCTATTCCTTTGAATTCCATTCAATTGAATTCCATTCGAGTCCATTCTATTGCATTCCATTCCATTCCGTTCTTTTCGATTCCAATCCGTTCGATTCTACTTTGTTCCAGTCCATTACATTCAAATCCATTCCCTTCCAGTGCATGCCATTTGATTCCATTCCATTCGACTCCATTCCACTCGATTCCACTCCGTTCCATTCTATTACATTCTATTCTATTTCATTCCATTGCATTCCATTCCATTCCATTTTATTACACTCCTTTCGATTCCATTCCATTCGAATCAATTACATTGTAATCCATTACATTCAATTCCATTCTATTCCAGTCCATTCCATTCCTGTCCATTCCATTTCGTTAGATTACATTTGATTCCATTATATACTATTGCAGTCTATTCGATTCCATTCTATTAGAATAAATTCCTTTTGAGACCATTCCTTTCGAGTCCATTCTATTTGAGTCCATTTCTTTCGACTCCATTACATTTGGGTCCATTCCATTCCATTCCTTTCCAGTCCATTACATTGCAGTCGATGCCAGTCCATTCAATTCTATTCCATTTGAGTCCATTATATTTGGGTCCATTCCATTCGATTCTATTCCATTTGAGTCCATTCCATTCGGGTCCATTCCATTCCACTCCATTCCATTCGATGCCATTCCATTCGAGTCCATTTCACTCCAGTCTATTCCATTCGATGCCTTTCCATTCGAGTCCATTTCATTCGAATCCATTCCATTGCATTCCATTCGATGCCATTCCATTTGATTCTATTCCATTCGACTCCATTCCCTTTCTTTCCATTCCATGAAATTCCATTCCATTCTATTCCTTTCCATTCCATTCCAATGTATTACATTCCATTCCGTTCGTGTCCATTCCACTCTAGTCCATTCCATTCGTGTCCATTCCATTCGTGTCCATTCCATTCCAGTGCATTCCATTCGAGTCAATTCCATTTAATTCCATTCGACATTTTTCCGTTTCACTCCATTTAATTCTGTTTCTTTCATTTCCAATCAATTCCATTCCATTTGATTCCATTACATTCAATTCCCTTCCATTCTACTCCATTCCTTTCCATTCCATTGCATTCTGTTCGGTTCGTTGCCAATGCGTTGGATTCCATTTTATTCCTGTCCATTCCATTCGAGTCCATTCCATTAGATTCCATTCCATTCGATTCCATGCCACTCGACCCCACTCCGTTCCATTCCATTGCGTTACCTTCTATTCCATTTCTTTGTATTCCATTCCATTCCAGTGCATTCCATTCGTTTCCATTCTATTAGAGTCCATTCCACTCCAGTTCATTCCTTTTGAGTCCATTACATTCCAGTCCATTCCACTCGAATCCAATCCATTCCATTCCATTCGACATCTTTCCATTACACTCCATTCCATTCTATTAATTTTGATTCTGATCAATTCCATTGCATTCCATTCGATATCTTTCCATTACACTCCATTCCATTCTATTAATTTTGATTCTAATCATTTCCATTCCAATCGAACACCTTCCTTTTGATTCCATTCCTTTCGACTCCTTTCCATTCCAGTCCATTCCATTCTATTCCATTTCATTAAATTCCATTCCTTTGATTACATTCCATTTGATTCCATTCCACTCGATTCCACTCCGTTACATTTTATTGCATTCCGTTCTATTCCATTCCATTCAGTGCCATTCCATTCTATTCTATTCCATTCGAGTCCATTTCTTTAGAGCCCATTCCATTCCATTCCATTCGATGTCATTCCGTTTGATTATTTTCCATTTGAATCCGTTCCATTGCATTCTGTTCCATCCGTTTCCATTCCATTCTGTTCCATCCATTTCCATTCCATTCTATTCCTTTCCATTCCATTCCATTCCATTTGTTTCCATTCCATTCGAGTCCTTTCAAATCCAGTACATTCCATTCGTATCCAATCCAATCCCATCCATTCTATTCGAGTCCATTGCATTCCATTCCATATCTTTCCATTACACGCCATTGAATTCAACTCCTTTCAATTCCATTCTATTCCATTCTATTCAATTCCATTCCATTTGACTCCATTCCAATCGAGTCCATTCCATTCCATTCCATTCCGTTCCATTTGATGCCAATGCATTCGTTTAAATTTTGTTCCAGTCCTTTCCGTTCAAGTTCATTCCGTTCCATTCCATTCCATTCCATTCTATTAGTGTCCATTCCACTCCGGTTCATTCCATTAGAGTCCATTACATTCTAGTCCATTCCACTCTAATCCAATCCATACCAGTCCATTCCATTCTATTCCATTCGATATCTTTCCGTTACACTCCACTCCATTCTATTAATTTTGATTCCATTCAATTACATTTCATTCGAACCCATTCCATTCAATTACATTCCATTCGATTCCATTCCATTCTAATCCATTACATTGCAATCCCTTAAATTCGAGTCCGTTTTATTCCAAAACACCCCATTCCGGTCCATTCCAGTCGATTCCATTCCATTCGATTCCATTCCATACTATTGCATTCTATTCGATACCATTTTATTCGAATAAATTCCATTCGAGAACACTTCTTTCGAATCCATTCTATTTGTGTGTACACCATTCGATTCCATTACGTTTGAGTCCTTTCTATTCCATTCCATTCAATGCCATTCCATTCGATTCTATTCCATTCGACTCCATTCCATTCTGTTCCATCTGATTCTATTCCATTCTATTTCTATCCAATCTATTCCATTCAATTCCATTCCATTCGTTTCCATTCCTTTCGAGTCTATTCCACTGCAGTCCATTCCATTCAACTCCATTCCATTCCAGTCCATTCCATTCGAGTCAATTCCATTCCATTCCATTCCATTTGATATCTTTCCATTACAATCCATTCCATTCTATTCCTTTCGATTCCATTCAATTCCACTCCATTCCATTCCATTCCATTTGATTTCATTCCATTCGACTCCAATCCATTCGAGTCCATCCCATTCCATTACATTCCATTCAGTTCCGTTCAATTCCAATCCATTTGATTTCGTTTCATTCCAGTCCATTTCATTCGTGTCCATTCCACTCCAGTCCATTCCATTTGAATCCTTTCATCCCAGTCCATTCCAATCGAGTCCATTACTTTCCATTCCATTTTATTCAATAGGTTTCCATTACACTTCATTCCATTCTATTCCTTTCGATTCCATTCAATTCCATTCCATTCGATTCCAATGCATTCGTTTCCATTCCTTTTGACTCTATTCCATTCGAGTCCATTCCATTCCATTCCGTTCCATTCTACTCCAATCCTTTCGATTCCATTTTGTTCCTGTCCATTCCATTCGAGTACATTCCATTCCTGTACATTCCATTCGATTCAATTCCATTTGATTCCATTCCACTTGTTACCACTCCATTCCATTCCTTTGCATTCCATTCTAGTCCAATCCATTTCATTCCATTCCACTCCATTTGATTACATTCCATTCAATTCGTTTCCATTCGAATCAATCACATTGCAATCCATTACATTCGAGTCCATTCTATTCCAGTCCATTCCATTCATTTCCATTCCATTCGATTCCATTCATTTTGATTCCACTCCATACTATTGCATTTCATTCGATTCATTCTATTAGAATAAATTCCATTAGAGACCGTTCCTTTCGAGTCCATTCTGTTTGAGTCTATTCCATTCCAGTCCATTACATTTGGGTCCATTCCATTCCCTTCCATTGCTTTCCATTCCATTCATTGCCATTCCATTCATTTCTATTCCATTCAACTCCATTACATTCCATTCCATCCGATTCATTCCATTCTATTCCTTTCCATTCCACTCCATTCCATTCGTGTCCATTCCATTTGAGTCCGTTCCAATCCAGTCCATTCCATTCGACTCCATTACACTCCAGTCCCTCCCATTAGAATCCATTCCATTTCGGTCCATTCCATTCAAGTCCATTCCATTCCATGACATTCCATTCGATATCTTTCCATTACAATCCATTCCATTCTATTCTTTTTATTCCATTCAATTCCATTCCATGTAATTCCATTCCATTCGATTCCATTCCATTCTACTCCATTCCGTTTGACACCATTACATTCCATTTCGTTCCATTTGATTGCAATACGTTCGGTTCCATTTTGTTCCAGTATATTCCATTCAAGTCCATTCCATTCCAGTCCATTCCATTCGATTCCAGTCCATTCGATTCCATTCCATTCCAATTGATTCTTCTCCGTTGCATTACATTGCATTCCATTCTATACCATTCCATTCCTTTTGGTTACATTAAATTTGATTTCATTCCATTCGAGTCAATTACTTTGCAATCCATTACATTCGAGTCCATTCTATTCCAGTCCATTCCATTCCATTCCATTCCATTCCATTCCATTCCATTCCATTCCATTCCATTGCATTCCATTCCATACTATTGCATTCCATTTGGTCCCAATGTTTTCAAATAAATTCCTTTCGAGGCCATTCCTTTAGAGTCCATTCTACTTGAGTCCATTCCATTCGAGTCCATTACATTTGGATCCATTTCATTCCATTCCAATCCATTCCATTCCATTCGGATCCATTTCATTCCATTCTATTCCATTCCATTCCATTCGATGCCATTCCATACAATTATGTTCCATAGGTGTCCATTCGTTTCGAATCCATTCCATTCCATTCCATTCCGCTCCATTAGATTACAATCCATTCGATTGCATTCCATTCAAATCAATTACATTTCAATGCCTTAAATTGTAGTCTGTTCTATTCCAGTCCATTCCATTCCTGTCCATTCCCTTTCGATTCCATTCCATACTATTGCATTCAATTCGATTCCATTCTCTTCGAATAAATTCCATTCAAGACAATTCCTCTTGAGTCCATTCCATTCGAATCAATTCCATTCAATTCCATTCCGTTCATTTCCATTCTTCTCGATTCTACTCCATTCCATTCTATTGCATTCCATTCTGTTCCATTCCATTGCATTCCTTTCCATTCCATTTGACTACATTAAATTCAATTCCATTTCATTCGAGTCAATAACATTGCAATCCATTACATTCGAGTGTGTTGTATTCCAGTTCAGTCCATTCCATTCCATTCCATTCCATTCCATTCCATTCCATTCCATTGGATTCTATTCCATACTATTTCATTCCTTTCAAATCCATGTTATTCGAATAAATTCCATTCAAGACCATTCCCTTCCAATCCATTCTATTTGAGTCCCTTCAATTCGAGTCCATTGCAATAGGGTCCATTCCATTCCTTTCCATTCCATTCACTTCGATGCCATTCCATTCCATTCTATTCCACTTGAGTCCATTCCGTTCGAGTCCATTCCATTCTATTCCACTCCATTCCATTCAATTCCATTGCATTCAATTCTATTCCATTCGACTCCATTCCATTCCATTCCATTCCATCCGATTACATTCCATTCCACCCGATTCCATTCCATTCTATTCCTTTCCATTTCATTCCATTCATTCCATTCCATTCCATTCCATTCCATTCCATTCCATTCCATATTTCCATTCCATTCGATTCCATTCCACTCCAGGACATTACATTCCAGTCCATACCATTAGAGTCCATTCCATTAGAGTCCATTTCATTACATTCCATTCCATTTGATATATTTCCATTCCATTCCATTCCATTGTATTCCTTTCGATTCCATTCAACTCTACACCATTCTATTCCATTTCATTCAACTCCATTCCATTCGATTCCATTCCAATCCATTCCATTAAATTTCGCTGTGTTAGATTCTAATCCGTTGGATTCCTTTTTTTCCGGTCCATTCCATTTGAGTCCATTCCATTCCAGTCCATTCCAATCGGTTCCATTCCACTCGATTCCATTCCATTTGATTCCACTCCATTCCATTCCATTGCATTCCATTCTATTTCATTCCATTCCATTTGAATACATTCGATTCGATTCTATTCCCTTCAAATCAATTTCATTTCAGTCCAATACATTCGAGTCCGTTCTATTCCATTCCATTCCATTCTGTTCCATTCCTTTTGATTCCATTCCATTCCATTCCCTTCCATACTGTTCCATTACATTTGACTCTATTCTATTCGAATAAATTCCATTCGAAGCCAATTCTTTCAAGTCCATTTTTTTGAGTCCCTTCCATTCGAGTCCATTACATTTGGGTCAATTGCATTCCATTCCTTTCCATTCCATTTGATGCCATTCCATTCGATTCTATTCCATTCGAGTCCATTCCTTTCCAGTCCATTCCATTCGTTGCCATTCGATACGATTCTATTCCATTTGATTCCATTCCATTCCACTCCATTCCATTACGTTCCATCCGATTCCAATCCATTCTATTCCTTTCTATTCCAATCCAATCCGCTCGATTCCATTCCATTCCATTCCGATCCATTTCATTCATTTCATTTCCATTCGCGTCATTTCCACTCCACTCCATTCCATTCGAGTCCATTCAATTCCACTACATTCCGTTTCACTCCAATCCATTCGATTTCTTTCCATTAAAACCATTCCATTCTATTCCTTTAGATTATATTAAATTCCATTCTTTTCCATTCCATTCCATACCATTCCATTCCATTCCATTTGACTCCATTTCATACCAGTCCATTCCATTCAATTCCATTCTGTTCCATTCTATTCCAATCTATTCAATTCCACTTTCTTCCAGTCCAATCCATTCGAGTCCATTACATTCCAATCCATTCCAATCGATTCCATTCCTTTCGATTCCATTCCGTTGAATTCCATTCCATTCGATTACAGTCCAATCCATTCCACTGCATTACTTTCTATTCCATTCCAATGCATTTCATTCCACTCTGTTTGATTACATTCCATTCGATTCCATTCCATTCAAATCAATTACATTGCAATCCATTACATACGATTCCATTCTATTCCTGTCCATTCCATTCCTGTCCATTCCATTTGATTCTATTCCATTAGAAACCATTCCATAGTATTGCATTCCATTCGATTCCATTCTATTCGAATAAATTCCATTTGAGACCATTCCTTTCGAGTTCATTCTTTTTGAGTCCATTCCATTTGCGTACGTTACAATTGGTTCCATTCCGTTCCGTTCCATTCCATTCGATGCCATTCCATTTGATTCTAATCCATTCGAGTCCATTCCATTCGACTTCATTCCATTCCATTTCATTCCATTCCATTCCATTCGAAGTAATTCCTTTGGATTCTATTCCATTCGACTCCTTTCCATTTCATTCCATTTCAACCGATTCCATTCCATTCCATTCCATTCCATCCAATTCCATTCCATTCCATTGCACCCGATTCCATTCCATTCCATTCCACTCGTTTCCATTCCATTCGTGTCCTTTCCACTCCAGTCCATTCCATTTGAGTAAATTGCAATCGAGTCCATTCCATTGAAGTCCATACCATTCCATTTGATATCTTTCCATTACACTCCCTTCCATTCCATTCCATTCGATGCCATTCCATTCCATTCTATTCCATTCGAGTCCATTCCATTAAAGACCATTTCATTCCATTGCGTTCCATCCCTTCCGCTTCCATTCCATTCTATTCCTTTCCATTCCATTCCATTCCATTCGTGTTCATTATATTCGAGACCATTCCACTCCAGTCTATTAAATGCAAGACCATTCCATTCCAGTCCATTCCATTCTGTTCTGCTCAATTCCAATGCGTTCAACTCCATTTTGTGCCAGTCCATTCCATTCCAGTCCATTCCATTTGATTCCATTCCATTTGATTCTATTCCATACTATTGCATTCCATTCGATTCCATTCTTTTGAATAAATTGCATTCGAGTCCATTCCTTTTGGGTCCATTCTATTTGAGTCCATTCTATACGAGTCCATTATATTTGGGTCCATTCCACACTATTCCATTCCATTCCATTCCATTCCATGCCCTTCCATTCCTTTCTATTCCATTGAGTCCACTCCATTCGAGTTCATTCCATTCCATTCCATTCCATTATTTGATGCCATACTATTCTATACTATTCCATTTGACTCCATTCCATTCCATTCCATTTGATGTCATAACATTCTATTCTATTCCATTTGACTCCATTCCATTCCATTCCTTTCCATCCGATTCCATTCCTTTCCATCCGATTCCATTCCTTTCTATTCCTTTTCATTCCGTTCCCTTCCGTTGCATTGCATTCCATTCCATTCCATTGGTTTCCATTCCATTTGTGTTCATTCTACTCCAGTAGATTCCATACGATTCCATTCCCTTCGACACCCTTTCAATCGAGTCCATTCCATTCCATTCAATTCCTTTCAGTTTGATTCCAATCCGTTCAATACCATTTTGTTCCAGTCCATTCCATTCGAATCCTTTCCATTCCAGTCCATTCCTTTCAATTCCATTCCATTCGAAGTCATTCCATTGGATTATATTCCATTCGACTCCATCCCATTCCATATCATTCCATCCGATTCCATTCCATTCTATTCCTTTATAATTCATTCCATTCCTTTCCATTCCATGCCATTCCATTCGTCTCCATTCCATTCGAGCCCATTCCACTCCAGTCCATTCCATTCGAGTGAATTCCATTACAGTCCTTTCCATTCCGTTACTTTCCATTCAATATCTTTCCATTGCACTCCATTCCATTCTATTCCTTTCGATTCCATTCAATTCCATTCCATTCAATTCGATTCCATATTATTGCATTCCATTCAATTCCATTCCATTCGTATAATTTACATTTCAGACCATTTCTTTCGAGTCCATTATATTTGAGCCCATTCCATTCGATTCCACTACATTTGGGTCCATACCATTCCATTCCATTCCATTCCATTCCATTCCATTCGATCCCAGTCCATTTTTTTTCTATTCCATTTGAGTCCATTCCAATCAAGTCCAATCCATTCCATTTGATGAAATTCTATTCGATTATATTCCATTCGAGTTGATTCCATTCCATTCGGTTCCATCCGATTACATTCCATTCTAATCCGTTCCTTTCCATTCCATTCCATTCTTTTCCAATCCATGCGAATCCATTCCACTCCAGTCCATTCCATTCGAGTCCCTTCCATTCCAGTCCATTCCTTTCAAGTCCATTCCATTCCATTCCCTTCAACGTCTTTCCATTACACTCCATTCCATTCTATTTCATTCGATTCCATTCAATTCCACTCTATTTGATTCCCTTCCTTTCGATTCCAATCCATTCGACTCCATTCCATTCGAGTCCATTTCATTCCATTCCAATGCATTCTGTTCCTTTCAATACCAATCCGTTTGATTCCATTTAGTTCCAGTACATTGCATTCGAGTCCATTCCATTCCATTCCATTCGAAGCCATTGCATTCGATTTTATTGCATTGAACTCCATTCCATTCCATTCCATTCCATCCGATTCCATTCCATTCTAGTCCTTTCCATTCGATTGCATTCTATTCGTTTAAATTCCAATCAAGTCCATTCCACTCCAGTCCATTGCATTTGAGTCCATTGCGTTCCAGTCCATTGCATTCGAGTCCATTCCACTCCATTCCTTTCCATTTGATATCTTTCCATTGCACTCTATTCCTTTCTATTCCTTTCGATTCTGTTCAATTCCATTCCATTCGATTCCAATCCATACTATTGCATTCCATTCAATTCCATTCTATCATATAAATTACATTCGAGACCATGTCTTTCGAGTCCATTCAATTTGAGCCCATTCCATTCCAGTCCATTACTTTTGGGTCCATTCCATTCTGTTCCATTCCATTCCATTCGATCCCATTACATTTGTTTCTATTCCATTCAAGTTCATTCCAATCGAGTCCTTTCCATTCCATTCATTGAAATTCCATTCAATTCTATTTCATTCGAGTTGATACCATTCCATTCCGTTCCATCTGATTCCATTCCATTCTATTCCTTTCCATTCCATTCCATTCCATTCTTTTCATTCCATTTGAATCCATTCCACTCCAGTCCATTCCTTTCGAGTCCATTCCATTCCAGTCCATTGCATTCAAGTCCATTCCATTCCATTCCATTAGAAGCCATTGCATTCGAATTTATCCCATTTGACTCCATTCCATTCCATTCCATTCCATCCGATTCCATTCCATTCTATTCCTTTCTATTCCATTTTCTTCCATTACATTCATTTCCATTCCATTCCTGTCCATTCCACTCCAGTCCATTCCATTTGTTTCCGCTCCATTCCATTACATTCCATTGCATTCCATTCAATTCCATTCGATGCCACTCCATTCGATTCTATTCCAATCGACTCCATTCCATTCCATTCCGTTCCTTCCAATTGCATTCCATTCTATTCCTTTCCATTCCATTCCCTTCCATTCCATTCTTTTCCATTCCATTCTATTTCACTTCATTCCATTCCATTCCACTCCATTCAATGCCATTCAAATTGACTCCATTCCATTCCATTCCGTTCTATCTGATTCCATTCCATTTTATTCCTTTGCATTCCATTCCATTCCTTTCCAATCCATTCCAATCTTCTCCATTCCAGTCCAGTCCATTCCACTCCAGTTCATTCCATTTGAGTCCATTCCATTACAGTCCATTCCATTCGAGTCCATTTCATTCTATTCTAATCGATTCGATTGCATTCCACTCGATTCCACTCCATTCGATTCCATTGTATTCCGTTCTATTCCATTCCACTGCATTCCATTCTATTCCATTCCATTGCATTCCATTCCATTCCATTTGATTACATTCCATTCGATTCCATTCCATTCGAATCAATTACATTGCAGTCCATTACATTTGACTCCGTTCTATTCCAGTCCATTCCGTTCCTGTCCATTCCATTCGATTCCATTCCATTCGATTTCATTCCCTCCGATTCCATTCCATTCTTTACCATTCTATTTGAATAAACTCCATTCGAGACCATTCGTTTCAAGTCCATTCTATTTGAGTCTATTCCATTCGAGTCCGTTACATTTGGGTCCATCCCATTCCATTCCATTCGATGCCATCCCATTTGATTCTATTCCATTCGAGTCCATTCCATTCGAGTCCATTCCATTCTAGTCCATTAAATTCGAGTCCATTCCTTTACACTCCATTCCCTTCCATTCTATTCGACTCCATTCCATTCCTTTCCATTCCATTCCATTCCGTTCCATTCCATTCCGTTCGATTACATTCCGTTCGCGTCCATTACATTCGATTCCATTCCATTTGATTCCATACCTTTTGATTCCATTCCATTCGAATCCATTCTATAAAATTCCATTCTTTCCTTTACGTTCATTTCCAGTCCATTCGATTCCAGTCCATTCCAATCCACTCCACTCCACTCCGTTGAATTCCATTACTTCCCATTCCATCTCTTTCCAATCTATTTCCCTCCACTCCACTACCCTCCATTAAATACCATTCCACCCCATTCCATTCCACTCCATTTTAATCCACTCTACTCCACTTCATTGCATTCCATTTCATTGCATTGAATGCCTTTAGATTTCATTCCACTCGATTCCATTCCATTCCATTCTCTTCCATTCGTTTCCATTCCATTTGATTCCATTCCATCCCCATCTATTCCATTCAATTCCACTCCATTCCATTCCATTCAATTCTATTCCATTCATTCCATTCATTTCCATTTCATTCCATTCCATGCCATTGCATTTCATTTCCACTCCCCTCTACTCCACTCCATTCCGTTCAATTCCATTCCTTCTCATTCCATTCCACTCCATTCCACTCCAATCCATTCCGTTCCACTCACTTCCATTCCACCCCTTTCCATTCCCCTACATTTCACTCCTCTCTTCTCCACTGCTTTCCATTCGATGCCTTTCGATTAAATTCCATTCGATTCCATTCCATTCAATTGCACTGCAGTCCACTCCATTCCAATCCATTCCGTTCCATTCTATTCGACTCCATTCCACTCCACTCCACTCTGATCCACTCTATTCCATTCCATTACATTGTATTCAACTCCATTCCATTCAATTCCGTTCTATTCCTTTCCACTCCACTCCACTAAACTCTACTGAAATCCATTCCTCCCCATTCCTTTCCACGCCATTCCATTCCACTGCACTCCATTTCAATGCATACCATTCGATTACAGTCGTTTCCATTCGATTCCATTCTATTCGATTCCAAACCTTTTGATTCCACTCCAATCGATTCGATTCGATTCCATTCCATTCCATTTCATTCCTTTCGATTTGATTTTATTCCATTCGGGTCCATTCCTTTCGATTATATTTCACTCAATTGCATTCCATTCGAGTCCATTCAATTCGAGTCCATTAAATTAAATTCCATTCTTTCCATTCCATTCCTGTCCATTCCATTCCAGTCCATTCCAGTCCACTCCTCTCCACTCCACTCCATTCAATTCCATTACTTCCCATTCCATTCCATTCCACTCCATTCTTCTCCACTCCACTACACTCCATTCAATTTATTTCCACCCAATTCCATTACACTCCATGACAATCCATTCCACTCCACTTCATCACACTCCATTTGATTCCGTTCATTGCCATTCAATTCCATTCCTTTCGATTGCCTTCCACTCTATTCCTCTCCATTTGATTCCATTCCATTCTATTCCATTCCCGTCGATTCATTTCCATTCGATTCCATTACATTGGAGGACATTCCATTCAATTCGTTTCTATTCCAGTCCATTCCATTGCAGTCCATTCCTTTTGAGTCCATTCCATTCGGGACTATTCCATTCCAGTCAATTCCATTGGAGCCCATTCTATTCCAATCCATTTCATTCCAGTCCATTCCATTTGAGTCCATTCCATTCGAGTCCATTCCATTCCAGTCCATTCTATTCCAGTCTATTCCGTTTCAGTCTATTCTGTCGGAGTCCATTATATTCTTTTCCATTCTCTTCCCTTTCCTTTCCTTCCTTTCCATTCCACTCCACTCCAGTCCTTTCCATTCCTTTTCACTTCACTCCATTCCATTCCACTCCACTCCATTCTATTCCACTGCATTCCACTCCATTCCACTTTTCCATTCCATTCCATTCCATTCCATTCCATTCCATTCTATTGCATTCCATTCCACTCCGCTCTGCTCCACTCCACTCCATTCAATTCCATTCGTTCTCATTCCATTCCACTCTATTCTTCTCCAATCCACTCCATTCCATTCAATTCCATTCCACTCTATTCCATTCCACTGCATTCCACTCCTCTCTACTCCACTTCACAGCATTCCAGTCGATGCCATTCAATTCCTTTCCATTCAATTCCATTCTAATTCATTCTATTTCATTTGATTCCATTCCATTCCATTCAATTCCGTTCCATTCCATTCCATTCCATTCCGTTCCATTCCATTCCATTCCATTTCATTCCATTCCTTTCCGTTCCATTCCATTCCATTCAATTCGAGTCCGTTCCATTCGATTCCATTCCATTGGATTCCTTTCCAAACTATTCCATTCCATTCAAGTACATTCCCTTCGAGTCCATTCCATTCCATTCCATTCCATTCCATTCCATTCCATTCCATTCCATTCCCCTCCACTCCACTCAACTCCACTCCACTACATTCCATTCCATTCTATCCCATTACATTCCATTGCACTCCTGTCGACTCCATTCCATTCCATTCCTCTCCATTCCATTCCACTCCATTCCATACTTTCCTTTACACTCCACTCGTCTCCACTCCACTCCATACCACTTCACTCTATTCCATTCCATTCCATTGCATTACAATCCACTCCACTCCACTCCACTCCACTCAATTCCATTCCTTCCCATTCCATTCCATTCCACTCCATTGCACTCTATACAATTGAGTTCCACATCATTCAATTCCACTCCATTACACTCCACTCCACTTAACTGCATTCCGTTAGATTCAATATGATGCCATTCTGTTCCTTTACATTCCATTTCATTCCAGTCGATTCCATTCTATTCAATTCCATTCCATTCGATTCCATTCCTTTCGATTCCATTCCAGTGTATTCCATTCAATTTGATTCCCTTCCACTCGATTCCACACCATTTGGGTGCTTTTCATTCGAGTCCATTCCATTCCTCTCCATTCCCTCCCAGTCCATTCCACTCCAGTCCATTTTACTCGAGTCCATTGCATTCCATTCCTTCATATTCCATTCCACTATACTCCATTCCATTCCATTGCATTGCACTCCACTCCACTCCGTTCAATTCCACTCCTACCCATTCCAATGCATTCCATTCCATTCCATTGCATTCCATTTAAATCTATTCCAATCCATTCCATTCCATTCCACTCCATTCCACTCCATTCCATACAATTCCACTCCACTCGACTCCACTCCATTCCTTTCCATTCCATTCAACTCAACTCCAAACAAATCGACTCCCATCGATTCCTCTACATTCCACTCTATTCCACTCCAATCCACTCCACTGCATTCCACTCCACTTCACTTCACTCCACTCCACTCCATTCCATTCCATTCCATTCCATTCCACTCTACTCTGTTCAATTCCATTCCTTTAAATTCCATTTTATCCCATTCCGTTAGATTCCACTGCACTCCACTCCATTGAATTCCATTCCGCCCTATTCCATTCCACACCATTCCACTCCACTCCACTCTACTTCACGGCATCGCATTCAATTCCATTCAATGTCATTCGATTTCATTCAGTTCCATGGCATTTGATTCCATTCCATTCAATTTCATTCCTTTGAATTCCATTCCGTTAGATTCCATTGCATTCGAGGCCATTCCATTCCAGTCTACTGCATTCAGGTCCATTCAGTTTGGGTCCATTACATTCGAGTCCATTCCACTCGCGTCCATTCCATTTCATTCCATTCCACTCCACTCCACTCCACTCCATTCCACTCCACTCCATTACACTACATTCTGCTGCACTCCATTCCATTCCATTCTATTCCATCCCACTGCAATCCACTCCACTCCACTCCATTCTATTCTATTCCACTCCACTCCATTTCATTCCACTCCACTCCATTCCATTCCACTACATTCCAATCCAATTCATTCCATTCCATTCTATTCAATTCCATTCCTTTCCATTGTGCTCCATCCCACTGCAATCCACTCCACTCCTCTCCACTCCACCCCATTCCATTCTATTCCACTCCATTCCGTTTAATTCCAATCCACTCCATTCCACTCCACTACATTCCATTCCAATTCATTCCATTCCATTCTATTACATTCCATTCCACTCCACTCCTCTCCGTTCAATTCCATTTCCATTCATTCCATTTCATTCCACTGTAATACATTCCATTCCATTCCATTGCATTCCAGTCCACTCCACTCCACTCCGTTCAATTCCATTCCTTCCCATTCAATTCCTTTCCAATCCATTCCACCTGACTCCACTCCACTCCATTCAATTAAATTCCACCCTATTCCATTCCACTCCATTCCACTCCTCTCCACTTCACCAAATTGTTTTCAAATCCATTTGATGCTTTTCGAGTCCATTCAATTCGAATCCATTCCATTCGATTCCATTCCATTCAATCCCATTCTATTTGATTCCGTTCCATTCGATTCCATTGCATTTGATTCCATTCCATTTCATTCCGTTCCATTGCATTCCATTCCGTTATATTCGACTCCATTCCATTTGAGTCCATTCCTTTTGAGTCCAATCCATTCCAGCCCATTCCATTGGAATCCAATCCATTCCAGTCCATTCCATTTGATTCAATTCCATTCCAATCCATTTCATTCCACTCCACTCCACTCGTCTCCCCTCCACTCAACTCCATTCCAATCAAATCCAAATAATTGCACTCAAATACATTGCACTCCATTCCATTCAATTCCTTTCCTTCCCATTCCATTCCATTCCAATCAACTTCCCTCCACTCCACTCCATTCTATTCCATTCCAGCCCATTCCATTCCACTCCATTCCACTCCACTCCACTTCACAGCATTCCATTCGATTCCATTCCATTCCAGTCCATTCCATTCAATTCCATTAAATTCGATTCCATTCCATTCGATTTCATTCCTTTCGAATCCTTTCCATTCGATTTCATTCCATTCTGTTCCATTCCATTCCATTCCATTTCATTTGATTCCAGTCCATTCGAGTCCATTCCATTCCTTTCCATTCCATTCCATTCCACTGCATTCCACTCGACTCCACTCCACTCTGCTTTACTCCATTCCTTCCCATTCCTTTCCACTCCATTCTAATCCAATCCACTCCACTCCATTCTATTACAATCCATTCCATTCCACTCCAATCCACTCCACTCCATTCTATTCCAATCCACTCCACTCCATTCAATTCCATTCCTTCCCATTACATTCAATTCCACTCCATTCCTCTCCACTCCTCTCCACTCCATTCAATTGCATTCCAATTCTTTCCATTGCACACCACTCCACTGAACATCACTGCATTCCATTCGAATCCTTTCGATGCCATTTGATTCCATTCCATTTTATTTCTTTCGATACCATTTGATTCCATTCCTTTCGGTTCCATTCCATTTGATTGTGTTCCATTTGATTCCTTGCATTCAATTCCATTCTATGTCATTCGATTCCTTTCCATTCGAATCCACTCCATTCCATTCGATTCCATTGTACTCCATTCTACTCCATTCGAGTCCATTCCACTCCATTCCATTCCTTTCCATTCCATTTGATTCCATTCCTTTCGAGTCCATTGCATTCAATTCCATTCCATTCCATTCGATACTATTCCATTCCATTCCATTCCTTTCAATTCCATTCGTGTCATTTCCATTCCGTTCCATTCCATTGCACTGCATTCCACTCCACTCCACTCCACTCTGTTCAATTCCATTCCTTCCCATTCCATTCCACTCTGTTCCAATCCAATCCACTCCACTCCATTCTATTCCATTCCACTCCATTCCATTCCACTCAATTCCACTCCTCTCCATTCCAGTTCACCGCAATCCATTTGATACCACTCAGTTCCATTCCATTCGATTCCATTCCATTCCATTCAGTTCCATTCCATTCTGTTCCATTCCTTTCCTTTCCTTTCGATTCCATTGCATTCAGTTGCATTCCATTTCATTTGATTCCATTCCATTAGATTCCATTCCATTCATTTCCCTTCCATTCCATTCAGTTCCATCCCATTCCGTTCCATTCCAATCCATTCCCTTCCATTCCATTGCATTCGATTCCATTCCATTCCTTTTGATTCCATTGCACTCAATTCCATTCCATTTCACTATATTCGAGACCATTCCATTCCATTCCTTTCCACTCTATTTGTTTCCATTCCATTCAATTCCATTCCATTCATTTCGATTCCATTCTTTTCCAATCAATTCTATTCAATTCTATTGCATTCTATTCCATTCCATTCGAGTCCATTCCCTTCTATTCCATTCCATTCCATTCCACTGCATTCCACTACACTCCTATTCACTCTGCTCAATTCCATTCCTTCCCATTCCATTCCATTCCACTCCATTCCTCTCCACTCCTCTCCACTCCGTTAAATTCCATTCCTTCTCATTCCACTCTACTCCATTCCACTCCAATCCACTCCGCTCCATTCAATTCCATTCCACACCATTCCATTCCCGTCCATTCCACTCCTCTCTACTCCACTTCACCACATTTTATTCGATGCCATTCGTTTCCATTCCATTCAATTCCATTCCATTCTGTTCCATTCCATTTCAATCCATTCCATTGCTTTTCAATTCCTCTCCACTACACTCAACTCCGTTCAATTATATTTCTTCTCTTTCCATTCCACTCCATTCAAAACCAGTGCACTCCACTGCATTCAATTCCATTCCACCCCATTGCTTTCAACTCCATTCCACCCCTCTGTTCTCCACTTCACCACATTCCAGTTGATTCTATTCAATTCCTTTCCATTGGATTCCATTCCATTGCATTGCATTCCTATTTCATTCTATTCTATTGCATTCCATTCAATTCCATTCCATTTGTGTCCATTCCATTCCATTCCATTCCCTTCCATTGCATTCCATTCCATTCCCTTCCCTTCCATTCCATTCCATTCCATTCCATTCACCTCCTCTCTACTCCACTCCACTCAACTCCACTCCATTACATTCCGTTCAATTCGATTCCATTCCATTTGGCTCCATTCCATTCAATGCCATACGTTAGATTGCATTCCATTTGATTCCATTCCATTCGATTCGATTCCATTCAATCCCATTCTATTAGAGTCCATTCCATTCCACTCCATTCCAATTCCTTCCATTCTTCTCAATTCCACTCCATTCCACTCTACTCCACTCCAATCCATTACAATCCAGTCCATTCCACTACACTACACTCCGTTCCACTCCATTTCACTCCACTCCATTCCATTCCACTCCACACCAATCCACTCCACACCACTCCACTCCACTACATTCAACTCCACTCCACTCCTCTCCACTACACTCCACTACACTCCTTTCAATTCCATTGGATTCGACTCCTCTCCACTCCAGTCCACCCCATTCCATGACATTCCATTTCTTTCTAATGCCCTCCACTCCATTACCCTCTGTTTAATTCCATTTCTTCCCATTCCATTCCATTCCATTCCACGCACTCCACACCACTCCATTCCATTCAATTCTATTCCATTCCATTCCATTCTATTTCATTCCATTCCACTTCAATCCACTGCAATCCACTCCACTCCAGTCCACTTCACTCCACTCCACTCCTTTCAATTCCATTCCTTCCCATTCCATTCCATTTTAATACATTCCACTCCACTGAACTGCACTCCATTTAATTCCATTCCATCCCATTCCATTTCACTCCACTCCTCTTCACTCCATTCAATTCAATTCCACTCCATGCCTTTCGACTCCATTCCACTCCACTCCACTACACTTCTCCGCATTCCATTTGATTCTATTCAATGGCGTTCTATTCCATTCCATTCGAATCCATTCCTTTCTAATCCATTGCATTCCACTCCATTCCATTTGATTCCTTTCTATTTGATTCCATTTCATTAGATTCCATTCCATTGGATTCGATTCCATTCGATTCCATTCCATTCATGTCCATTGTATTCCAATCCATTCTATTCGAGTCCATTACATTCGAGTCCATTCCATTCCTATCCATTCCTTTCCATTCGAGTTTGTTGCGTTCAATTCCATTTCATTCAAATCCATTCCATTCCAGTCCATTCCATTCGAGTACATTCCATTCCATTCCATTTCATTCCACTGCTATCCATTCCATTCTATTCCATTCCATTTGATTCCAGTGCATTCGAGTCCATTCCGTTCCATTCCAATCAATTCGAATCTATTCCTTTCCAGTCCAGTCCATTCGTTTCCATTGCATTTGATTCCATTCCATTCTATTCTATTCCATTCCATTCCATTTTAATTGATTGCATTCTATTTCATTCCATTCCACTCCATTCGATTCTATTCCAATCGATTCCGTTCCATTTGATTCGATTCCTTTCCTTTCTATTCCATTTGTTTCCATTCCATTCGATTCCATTCCATACGATTCCATTACATTCGAGTCCATTCCATTCGAGTTCATTCCATTGCAGTCCATTTCTTTCGATTCGATTCCATCCCATTCCATTCCTTTGCGTTCCATTCCCTACCATTCGATGACATTCCATTGGAATCGATTCCATTCCATTCCAGTGTATTCCATTCCATTCCATTCCATTCCTTTTCCTATCCAATCGATTAAATTCCATTCTTTTCCATTCCTTTCGATTTCATTCCATTCGAGACCGTTCCATTCCATTCCAGTCCATTCCATTCCAGTCCATTCCATTCCAGTCATTTCCATTCCAGTCAATTCCATTTGACTCCTTTCCATTCGAGTCCTTTCTATTCCTGTCCATTCTATTCAAGTGCATTCCATTCGAGTCCATTCCATTCCATTCCATTCCATTTCATTCCATTCCATTCCATTCGAGTCCGTTCCATTCGTGTCCATTCCATTCCAGTCCATTCCATTTCAGTCAAATTCATTTGAGTCCATTCCATTCCATCCATTCCTTTCCATGCCATTCAATTCTAATCCATTTGATTTCATTCCATTCAATTCCATTTCATTCGATTCGATTCTATTCCTTTCTTTTCCATTCCATTCGATTCCATTGCATTTGATTCTATTCCATTCCATTCCATTCCAGTCCAATCCACTCAACTCCACTGTGTTCAATTCCAATCGTTCCCATTCCTTTCCATTGCATTCCATTCCACTCCACTCCACTCAATTCAATTCCATTCCACCCCATTCCATTCCACTCCATTCCGCTCCACTACACTCTACTTCACCACATTCCTTTCAATTTCATTCTATGCTATTCGATTCCAGTCCATTGGATTCCATTCCATTT
>NT_187425.1:63377-64017 GCF_000001405.40 Homo sapiens | reverse complement strand
AATCGAGTCCATTCCATTCCAGTCCATTCCATTCAATTCCAATCCATTCCACTCTTTTCCATTCTTTTCCATTCCATTCCATTGCATTCTATTCCATTCCAGTCCATTCCACTGCACTCCACTCCACTCCTCTCTGCTCAATTCAATTCCATCCCATTCCATTCCATTCCTCTCCGTTCCACTGCACTCCACTCCACTCCACTCCATTCAATTCCATTTCATCCCATTCCATTCCACTCCACTCCACTAAACTTCTCTGCATTCAATTCGATTCCATTCGATGCCATTCGATTCAATTCCATTCAATTCCATTTCAATCTATTCCATTCTATTCGTTTCCATTCCATTCAAGTCCAATCTATTCGAGTCCTTCCCATTCCAGTTGATTCCATTCCATTGCATTCCATTTGAGTCCATTCCATTTTTGGCCATTCAATTGGAGTCCATTCCAATCCAGTCCATTGCATTGCAGTACATTCCATTCCACTCCACTCCACTGCACTCCACCACATTCCATGCCACTCTACACAACTCCGCTGCACTCCACTCCACTCCATTCCATTCCACTCCTCTACACCCCACTCCACTCCATTCCACTCCACTCCAATCCATTCCATTCCATTCCACTGCATTCCACTCC
>NT_187425.1:56113-62681 GCF_000001405.40 Homo sapiens | reverse complement strand
TTCCATTCTATTTCATTCCATTCCACTTCAATCCACTGCAATCCACTCCATTCCAGTCCACTTCACTCCATTCTACTCCTTTCAATTCCATTCCTTCCCATTCCATTCCAATTCAATACATTCCACTCCACTTAGCTGCACTCCATTCAATTCCATTCCATCCCATTCCATTTCACTCCACTCCTCTTCACTCCATTCAATTCAATTCCACCCCATTCCATTCGACTCCAATCCACTCCACTTCACTACACTTCTCCGCATTCCATTTGATTCTATTCAATGCCATTCGATTCCTTTCCATTCGATTCCATTCCTTTCGAATCCATTGCATTCCACTCCATTCCATTTGATTCCTTTCTATTGAATTCCATTTCATTTGATTCCATTGCATTGGATTCCATTCCATTCGATTCCGTTCCATTCATGTCCATTCTATTCCAGTCCATTCTATTCGAGCCCATTCCATTCAAGTCCATTCGATTCCTATCCATTCCTTTCTATTCGAGTCCATTACGTTCGATTCCATTCCATTCCAGTCCATTCCATTCCATTTCATTTCATTCCATTGCAATCCATTCCATTCTATTCCATTCCATTCGTTTCCAGTGCATTCGAGTCCATTCCCTTCCAGTCCAATCCATTCAAGTCCATTCCATTCCAGTCCAGTCCATTCGTTTCCATTGTATTTGATTCCATTCCATTCTATTCTATTCCATTCCATTCCATTTAAATCGATTGCTTTCCCTTCCATTCCATTCCACTCCATTCGATTCTATTCCAATCGATACCATTCCATTCAGTTCGATTCCTTTCATTTCTATTCCATTCCATTTGATTCCATTCCATTCGATTCCATTCCATACGATTGCATTCCATTCGAGTTCATTCCATTCCAGTCCATTTCATTCGATTCCATTCCATTCCATTCCATTCATTTGAATTCCATTCCATACCATTCGATGACATTCCTTTGTAATCGATTCCATTCCATTCCAGTGTATTCAATTCCATTCCATTACCTTCCTATCCAAGCAATTATGCTCCATTCTTTTCCATTCCATTCAATTGCATTCCATTCCAGACTGTTCGATTCAATTCCATTCCATTCCATTCCAGTTCATTTCATTCCAGTCATTTCCATTCCAGTCAATTCCACTTGATTCCGTTCCATTCGAGTCCTTTCTATTCCTGTCCATTCTATTCGAGTGCATTCCATTCGAGTCCATTCCATTCCATTCCATTCCATTGCATTGCATTCCATTCCATTCATTCAATTCCAGTCCATTCCATTCGTGTCCATTCCATTCCAGTCCATTCCATTCCAGTCAAATCCATTTGAGTGCATTCCATTCCATCCATTCCTTTCCATGCCATTCAATTCTAATCCATTCGATTTCATTCCATTCAATTCCATTTCATTCGATTCGATTCCATTCCTTTCTTTTCCATTCCATTTGATTACATTTCATTATTTTCGATTCCTCTCAATTCCACTGAATTCGAGTCCATTCCATTCCGGTCTATTCCATTCAATTCCATTCTATTCGATTGCATTCCATTCCATTGCATTCCATTCGATTCCATTCCACTCGATTCCGTTCCCTTCGATTCCATTCCTTTCGTGTCCATTCCATTGGAGTCCATTCCATTCGAGTCCTTTCCATTCAAATCGATTCCATTCGAGGCCATTACGTTCATGTCCATTCCATTCAAGTCCATTTCATTCGAGTCCATTTTTTCCATTCCATTACATTCGTTATCACTGCATTCCACTCCATTCCATTCCATTTGATTCCATTCCATTCGAGTCCATTCCATTCGAGTCCATTCCATTCCACTCCTTTCCACTCCACGGCACTAAACTACCTTCAAATCCATTGCATCCCATTTCTTTCCACTCCATTCCACTCCAGTCCACTCCGCTTCTCCGCATTCATTTCGATTCCATTCGATTCAATTCGAATCCTTTGTATTCTATTCCATTCCATTTGATCCATTCCATTCGATTCTATTTCATTCGATCCCATTCCATTCGATTTCATTCCATTCGAGCCCATTCCATGTGATCTCATTCCATCGGAGCCCATTCCATTCGAGTCCATTCCATTCGTGTCCATTCCATTCCATTAAAGTCCATTCCATTCCACTCCACTCCTATACTTTCCATTGCATTCCAGTCTCCTCCATTCCACTCCACTCCATTCCATTCCATTCCATTGCACTGCACTCCTCTCCAGTCCATTCAATAACAATCCTTCCCATTCCACTCCATTCCACTCCACTCCACTCCATTCAATTGCATTCCACCCTTTTCCTTTCCTCTCCATTCCTCTCCACTCCACTTCACCACTTTCCTTTCAATTCCATTCGATGTTGTTGATTCCTTTCCAATCGATTCCATTCCTTTCGTTTCCTTTCAATTTGATTCCATTCCACTTTATTCAATTCCATTTGATTCCATTCCGTTCGATGCCTTCCATCCGATTCCATTTCATTCCAGTCGATTCCATTTCATTCCAGTCCATTCCTTTCCATTTCATTCCATTCCATTCCACTCCACTCCACTCCACAACACTCCACTCCACTCCATACCTTTCCATTCCATTTCAGTAAACTCCATTTCATTCCACTCCTTTCCTCTCCACTCCACCGCATTCCGTTTCTACACATTCCATTCCATTCCACTGCACTCCACCCCAATCCAATCCATTTCTTTCTATTCCATCGCATAGCACTCCACTCTACTCCACACAATTCTACTCCATTCCTTTCCATTCCACTCCATTCCAGTCCGCTGCACTCTACTCCACTCGACTCTATTCCATTACATTCCACTCCACTCCACTCCATTCCACGCTATATCACACAATTCCATTCGATTCCATTCCACTCCAAACCACTGCACTCCATTCCATTCCATTGCATTCCTTCTCATTCCATAACATTCAACTCAATTCTTCTTCATTCCATTGCACTCCATTCAGTTAAATTCCACCTCTTTCCTTTCCACACCACTCCACTCAATTGCACTCAACTTCACTGCATTCCATTCGATGCTATTCGATGCCATTCCTTTCCCTTCCATTCTATTCAATTGTATTCTATTCCATTGCATTCGATTCCATTCCATCCATTTCCATCCCGTTCGACTCCATTCCGCTCTATTCCATTCCATTCCATTCCATTCCATTCCATTCAATTACAATCCATTCGATTCCATTCCATTCGATTCCATTCTATTCAATTCCATTCCATTCCAGTCCATTCCATTCCAGTCCATTCCTTTCAAGTCCATACCATTCCAGTTCATTCCATTGCACTCCATTCCATTCGAGTCCATTCCGTTCAACTACATTCCATTCGAGTGCATTCCATTCTATTCTTTTTCTTTCCATTACATTGCATTCCATTGCATTCCATTCCATTCGACTCCATTCAACTCCATTGAATTCCATTCCATCCCATTCCATTGCACTTCATACCACACCTCTCCCCTCCACTTCACCACATTCCATTCGATACCATTCGTTGCCATTCTATTCGATTCCATTCCATTTGATTCCATTCCTTTCGATTCTGTTCCCTTCGATTCCATTCAGTTTGATTCCTGTCCATTTGGTTCCATTCCGTTCGATTGTATTCCATTTGATTCCTTTCCATTCGAACCCAATCCATACGACTCCATTCCATTACAGACCATTCCATTAAATTCCATTCCATTCGATAGCATTTCATTCGAGTCTATTGCACTCCAGTCCATTCCATTCCATTCCCATCCACTCCATGCCAATCCCTTCCATTCCATTCCATTCCATTACATTGCACTCCACTCCACTCCACTTAATTCCATTACATTCCAATGCATTCCACTCCACTCCACTCCATTCTATTCCCCTCCGTTCAATCCAATTCCTTCACATTCCATTCCATTCCACTCCTCTCCACTTCACTGCATTCATTTCAATTCCACCCCATTCCATTCCACTCCATTCCACTCCAATAGACTCCACGTCACAGAAATCCATTCAATTCCATTCGATGCTATTCGATTCCATTCCATTTGATTCCATTCCAATCGATTCCATTCCGTTCCAATCTATTCCATTCGATTTCATTCCATTCAAATGCATTCCCTTCAAGTCCATTCCATTTGAGCCAATTCCATTCGAGCCCATTCCATTTTAATTCATTCTATTCCATTGCATTCCATTCCACTCCACTCCACTCTATTTCATTCCATTCCATTCCATTCCACTCCACTCCACTCCATTCCATTCCACACCACTCCATTCAATTCCATTCCTCTCCACTCCACTGCACTCCACTCCATTCCACACCACTCCATTCAGTTCCATTCCTTCCCATTCCATTCCATTCCACTCAATAGCACTTCACTCCAATCTACTCCATTCAATTGTGTTCCACCCCATTCCATTCCACTCAAATCCACTCCTCTCCACCCCACATCACCACATTCCATTTGATACCATTTGATTCCATTTGATGCTGTTTGATTCTATTCCACTTGATTCCATTCCATTCGATTCCTTGCCATTCGATTTCATTTAATTTCATTCCACTCCGTTTGAGTCCATTGCATTCAAGTCCCTTCCATTCCAGTCGATTCCATTCCCGTCCATTCCATTCGAGTCCGTTCAATTGCAGTGCAGTCCATTCCATTGCATCCCATTCCATTCCATTCCATTCAACTCCACTCCAAGCCACTCCACTCCACTCCACTTGACTCCATTCTACTCCACTCCACTCCATTCCATTCCATTCCATTCCACTCCATTCCAGTCCACTCCACTCCACTTCAACACATTCCATTCGATTCCATTCTATGCCATTCCATTAGTTTCCATTTCATTCGATTACATTCCATTTGATTCCAATCCATTCCATTCCGTTACATTCCAGTCCATTCCATTGCAGTCCATTCCATTCCAGTCTGTTGCATTTGAGTCCATTCCTTTCGAGTCCATTCTATTTCATTCCATTCCATTCCATACCATTCCACTCCACTTCATTCCATTCGATTCCTTTCCATTCCATTCCACTCCACTCCACTCTGTTCCATTCCACTCCACTCCATTCCACTCCCTTCTAATATGCTCCACTCCACTCCACTCCATTCCATTCCACTGCACTCTACTCTAGTCCACTCCATTCCACTCCATTCCTCTCCACTCCACTCCACCCTACTCCATTCCATTCCATTCCGTTCCATTCCATTCCACTCCACTCCTCTCAGTTGCATTCCATTGCATTCCATTCCACTTCACCCAATTCCATTCGATTCCATTTCATTCCACTCCATACCACTTCACTACACACCACTCCATTCCGTTCAGTTCCATTTCTTCCCATTCCTTTCCATTCCACTCCATCCCAATCCACTAAACTCCACTTCACAGCATTCCATTCAAATCCATTCATTGCCACTCGATTCCATTCCATTCTATTGCATTTCATTGGAGTCCATTCAATTCAATTCCATTCCATTTGTTTCCATTCCATTCTATTCCATTCCATTCGAGTACATTCTGTTCCAATCCATTCCATATGATTTAATTACATTTGAGTCCATTCCATTCCAGTAAATTCCATTCCTGTCCAGTACATACGACCCAATTCCCAAGGAGACCTTTCCATTCCATTTGATTCCATTCCATTTAGTTCCATTCAATTCCATTTCATTCGATTCCATTCCATTCGATTCCATTCCATTCGAGTCCATTCCATTCAAACCCATTCCATTCCATTTCATTCGATTCCATTCCATTCGATTCCGTTCCATTCGAGTCCATTCCATTCAAATCCATTCCATCCGAGTCCATTCCATTCCATTCCATTCCATTCCATTCCATTCCATTCCTTTCCATTCCATTCCATTCCATTCCATTCTATTCCAGTGAATACCATTTCATTCGACTCCATTCCGATCGAGTCCATTCCATGCAAGTCCCTTTGACTCAAGTCCATTCCATTCAAGTCCATTCCATTCGAGTCCAGTTCTCTTGAGTCCATTCCATTACACTCCATTCCATTCCATTCCGTTCCATTGCATTTGATTCCATTCGATTCAGGTCCTTTCTTTTCGAGTCCATTCCATTCGAATCCATTCCATTCTAGTCCATTCCATTCGAGTTCATTCCATTCCATTGTATTCCATTCCATTCCATTCCCTTCTATTAGATTCCATTCCATTCGAGTCCATTCCATTCCAGTCCATTTCATTCGAGTCTATTCCATTCCATTCCATGGCATTCCATTCCATTCATTTCCATTCGATTCCATCCCATTCGTGTCCATTCCATTCGAGTCCATTCCATCCGAGTCCATTCGACCTGAGTCCATTCCACTCGAGTCCATTCCATTCTAGTCCAATTGACTCTAGTCCATTCCACACAAGTCCATTCCATTCAAGTCCATTCCACTCCATTGCATTCCATTCCATTGCATTCCATTGCATTCCACTCCAAACCACTCCATTCCGTTCATTTCCATTCCTTCCTATTCCATTCCATTCCACTGCTTTACACTCCACTCCACTCTACTCCTTTCA
>NT_187425.1:43519-49834 GCF_000001405.40 Homo sapiens | reverse complement strand
CCATTCCATTGGAGTCCATTTCATTCAATTCAATTCCATTCCATTCCATTCCATTCCATTCCATTCCATTCCATTCCATTAGATTCCATTCTATTCTATTCTATTCCATTCCATTTGTTTCCATTCCATTCGACTGCATTTCATTCGATTCCATTCCATTCGATTACATTACATTCTATTGCATTCCATAAGATTGCATTCCATTCGATACCATTCCTTTCCATTCCATTGCATACCATTCCATTCCACTCGATTCCATGTTATGTGATTCCATTCATTTTGAGTCCATTCCATTGCAATCCATTTCATTCAAGTCCATTCCGTTCCACTCCATTCCATTGCAGTTCATTCCATTCGATTGCATTGCATTCGATTCCATTCCATTCGATTCCATTCCACTCGATTCCATTCCCTTCGAGTCCATTCCATTAGTGTCCATTCCATTGGAGTCCATTCCATTTGAGTCCATTCCATTCCAGGACATTACATTTGATTCCATTCCATTCGATTCCATTCCATTCGATCCCCTTCCATTCGATTCCATACCATTCGGGCCCATTCCATTCGAGTCCAATCCATTCGATTCCATTCCATTCCATTCCATTCCGTTCTATTCCATTACATTACATTCGATTGCTTTCCATTCGATTCCATTACATTGGAGTCTATTCCATTCCAGTTGGTTCCATTCCATTATATTCCATTATATTCCATTCAAGTCCATTCCATTCGACTCCATTCCACTCCATTCCATTTTATTCCATTCCATTCCATTCCATTCCATTGGAGTCCATTTGGCTCGAGTCCATTCTACCTGAGTCCACTGCATTGGAGTTTATTCCACTCGTGTCCATTCCATTCTAGTCCATTTGACTGGAGTCTATTCCGCTCGAGTCCCTTCCACTCGATTCCATTCCATTTCTATCCATTCCATTCCTTCCCATTTCATTCAATTCCGTTCCATTAGAGTCCATTCCATTCCTGTCCAATCCATTCAAGTCCATTCCATTCCATTCCATTCCTTTCCCTATGATTCTGTTCAATTCGAGTCCATTCCCTTCAAGTCCATTCCATTCCTTTCCATTCCATTCCATTCCATTGGAGTCCATGCGGCTCGAGTCCATTCGGCCCGAGTCAATTGCATTCGAGTCCATTCCACTCGTGTCCATTCCATTCTAGTCCATTTGACTCGTGTCCATTCCACACGAGTCCATTCCATTCGAGTCCATTCCTCCCGAATCCATTCCATTTCACTCCATTCCATTCCATTTCATTCTATTCCATTCCATTTGATTCCATTCCATTCGAGTCCATTCCATTCCTGTCCAATCCATTCAAGTGCATTCCATTCCATTCCATTGCTTTCCATTTGATTCCATTTGATTCGAGTCCATTCCCTTCGAGTCTATTCCGTTCCAGTACATTCCATTCAAGTTCATTCCACTCCACCGCATTCCAATCCATTCCTTTCCTTTTCAGTCCATTTGATTCAATTCCACTCCACTCCACTCCATTCCTTTCCATTCCATTCCATTCCATTGAACTGCAGTCCAATCCACTCCACTCATCTCCACACTACTCCACTCAACTCCTTTCCCTTCTGTTCCATTCCATTCCATTCAATTCCATTCCATTCCATTCCACTCCATTCCACTGCACTCCATTCCATTTCACTCCATTATACTCCATTCCACTCCACTCCACTCCACTCCGTTCCATTCCACTGCACTCCGGTCCACTCCACTCAACTCCACAACACTCCACTCAACTCCACTCCATTCTATTCTGTTCCCTTCCATTCTGTACCATTCCGTTCCATTCCACTCAACTCCATTCCACTCCATTCCATTCCACTCCATTCCACAACATTCCACTCCATTCCACTGCACTCCACTCCACTGCACTCCATTCCATTCCACTGCATTCCATTCCGTTGCATTCCACTCCATTCCAATACACTCCATTCCACCCCACTCCACTCCATTATACTCCATTCCAAGTCATTCCATTAATTTCCATTGCCTTCTACTCCATTCCATTTCATTCACTTCCACTCCATTCCTCTCCACTCCATTCCACTCCTTTCCGTTACTGTCCACTCCACTCCATTCCACTCCTTTCCTTTCTGTTCCATTCCACTCCACTCCATTCAATTCCACTCTACTCCATTCCATTCCATTCCTTTATTTCAATTGGATGTAACTCTGTCTCCCAGACTGTAGTGCAGTGACACAATCTTAGTTCTCATTTCCTTTCACCATTGTGTTCCATTCCATTCCATTCACCTCCATTCCATTCCATTCCACTCCACTCCATTCCACTCCACTCTATTCCATTTCATTCCATTCCATTCCATTCCATTGCACTCTCATCCACTCAACTCAACTCCTCTGCACTCCACTCCACTCCATTCTGTTCCATTCCACTCCTTTCCATTACATTCCATTCCTTTCCATTCCATTCCTTTCCACTCCACTTCATTTCAATCCACTCCTTTCCGTTAAATTCCTCCCTACTCCACTCCTCTCTACCCCATTCCATTCCATTCGACTGCACTCTGATCCACTCCACTCAACTCCACTCCACTCAACTGCACTCCACCCCACTCCACTCCATTCCACTCCACTCCACTCCCTTCCACTCCTCTCCATGCCATTCCACTCCACTCCACTCCATTCCACTCCGCTCCACTCCATTTCATTCCACTTCAGTCCTTTACATTACACTCCACTCCATTCCATTCCATACCAGTCCACTCCACTCCACTCCATTCCACTCCACTCCATTGCTTTGCATTCCATTCCATTCCATTCCACTGCACTCTGATCCACTCCACTCAACTCCACTCTTCTGTTCTCCATTCCGTTCCATTCTGTCGCATTCCATTCCTTTCCATTGTATTCCATCCCACTCTAATCCATGCCATTCCACTCCTTTCCTCTCCTCTTCACTCCACTCCAATCCACTCCACTCCATTCCATTCAATTTCATTCTATTCTACTGCATTCTGATACACTCCTCTCACCTCCACTGCACTCCACTGCACTCCATTCCACTCCTTTCCATTCCTTTCCATTCAGTTCCGTTCCATTCCATTCCATTCCCCTCCATTGCATTCCACTCCACTCCATTCCACTCCACTCCATTTCACTCCATTCCACTCCATTCCACTCCTCTTCACTCCACTCCACTCCAGTCCATTCCACTCTGATCCATTCCTTTCCACTCCACTCCATTCCATTCCACTCTATTCCATTCCTTTCCACTCTATTCCATTCCATTCCATCCCATTCCATTCCATTGCACTCCATCAACTCCACTCCACTCCACTCTCCAATTCACTCCACTCCACTTTAATCCACTCCTTTCCACTCCACTTCATCCCAATCCACCCCACTCCATTCCAGTCCACTCTATTCCATTTGACTCCAATCCTGTCGGGTGCACTCCATCCCGTCCCATTCCTTTCAAATCCCCTCCATTCGGTTGCACTCCTTTCCACTCCACTCCACTCCACTCCAATTGTCACCACTCCACTGTACTCCTTTCCATTCCGTTCCATTCCAGTCCACTCAATTCCATTCCCTTCCATTCTGTTCCATTCCATTTCATTCCACTGCACTCCGATCTTCACATAAAATCTAGACAGAAGATTTCTGAGAAACTTTTTTGTGATATTTGCATTCACCTCACAGAGTTTAACCATTCTTTTGATTGAGCAGTTTGGTAAAAGTCTTGTTGTAGAATCTACAAAAGGATATTTGTGAGTGCTTTGAAGCCTGAGGTGAAAAAATAAATATCTTCACAGCAAAACTAGAAAGATGGTGTCTGAGAAAGTGCTCTGTGATGTTTGAATTCATCTCACAGACTTCAACCTTTATATTGATTTAGCACATTGGAAACAGTCTTTTTGTAGAATCTGCAAAGGGATATTTGTGTACACTTGGAGGCCAATGGTGTGAAAGGAAATATCTTCACATGAATACTAGACAGAAGCTTTCTGAGAACTTCTGTTTTATGTGTGCATTTCTCTCAAACAGTTGAACCATTCTTTTGATTGAGCAGTTTGGAAACAGTCTTTTTGTAGAATCAGCAAAGGGATATTTGTGAGCGCTTTGAGTCCTACGGGGAAAAAGGAAATATTTTCACATAAAAACTCTACAGAAGGTTTCTGAGAAACTGCTTTGTAATGTGTGCATTCATCTCACAGAGGTAAATATTTCTTTTCATTGAGTAGATGGGAAACTCTTTTCTTGTAGAATCTGCAAAGGGATATTTGTGAGCACTTTGAGGCTTATGGTGAAAAAGGAAATATCTTCATATAAAATGTAGACAGAAGCTTTCTGAGGAACATATTTGTGATTTATGCATTCATCTCATAGAGTTGAACCATTCTAATTTTTTTGGAGCTCTGGGTTTATTTTTTAATTATTTAATTTTATTATTATTATACTTTAAGTTTTAGGGAACATGTGTACAACGTGCAGGTTTATTACATATGTATACATGTGCCATGTTTGTGTGTTGCTCCCATGAACTCATCTTTTAGCATTAGGTATACCTCCTAATGCTATCCCTCCCCCTACCCCTCTTCCCACCCAACTACAATCCCTGGTGTGTGGTGTGTGATGTTTCCCTTCCTGTGTCCATGTGTTCTCTTCGATCAATTCCCAACTATGAGTGAGAACATGTGGTGTTTTATTTTTTGTCCTTGTGATAGTTCGCTGAGATTGATGGTTTCCAGCTTCATCCATGTCCCTACAAAGGACATCAACTCATCATTTTTTATGGCCACATAGTGTTCCATGATGTATATGTGCCACATTTTCTTCATCCAGTCTACCGTGGTTGGACATTTACGTTGGTTCCAAGTCTTTGCTATTGTGAATAGTGCCGCTATAAACATACGTGTGCATGTGTCCTTATAACAGCATGATTTATAGTCCTTTGGGTATATACCCAGTAATGGCATGGCTGGGTCAAGTGGTATTTCTAGTTCTGGATCCCTGAGGAATCGCCATGCCGACTTCCACAATGGTTGAACTAGTTAACAGTCCCACCAACAGTGCAAAAGTGTTCCTATTTCTCACATCCTCTCCAGCACCTGTTGTTTCCTGACTTTTTAATGATCGCCATTCTAACTGGTGTGAGATGGTATCTCATTGTAGTTTTGACTTGCATTTCTCTGATGGCCAGTGAAGATGAGCATTTTTTCATTGTTCATTGGCAGCATAAATGTTTTCTTTTGAGAAATGTCTGTTCATATCCTTTGCCCACTTTTTGATGGGGTTGTTTGGTTTTTTTCCTGTAAATTTGTCTGAGTTCATTGTAGATTCTGGATATTAACCCTGTGACAGATGAGTAGGTTGCAAAATTTTTCTCCCATTTTATAGGATTCCTGTTCACTCTGATGGTGGTTTCTTTAGCTGGGCAGAAGCTCCTTAGTTTAATGAGATCCCATTTGTCAATTTTGAGTTTTGTTGCCATTGCTTTAGGTGTTTTAGACATGAAGACCTTGCCCATGCCTATGTCCTGAATGCTATGACCTAGGTTTCCTTCTAGAAATTTTATGTGACGCTTTATTTTGATTAATGAGTTTGGATACTCTGTTGTTGTAGAATCTGCAAGGAGATATTTGTGAGCGCTTTGAGGCCTTTGGTGAAAAAGGCAATACCTTCACATAATAAATAGACAGAAGTTCTCTGAGAAACCTCCCTGTCATGTGTGCATTCATCTCACATAGTTGAAACAGTCTTTTGACTGAACAGTTTGAAAACTGTCAATTTGTAGAATCTGCAATGGGATATTTGTGAGCCCTTTGAGGCCTATGGTGAGAAAGGAAATATCTTCAATAAAAACTATAAACAATGTTTCTGAGAAGCTGTTTTGCAAGGTTTGCCCTCATCTCAGAGAGATAAAAGTATCTATTCTTTGATGAGTCTGGAAACTCTGTTCTTGTAAAATCTGCAAAGGGATATTTGTGAGTGGCTTGAGGCCTGTGGTAAAAAAGGAAATGTTTTCACATAAAAACTACACAGAAGATTTCAGAGAAACTTCTTTGTGATATATGCATTCATCTCACAGAGTTGAACCATTCTTTTGACTGAGAAGTTTGGAAACAGTCTTTTCAGAGAATCTGCAAAAGGATATTTTGAGCGCTTTGATAGGTATGGTGAAAAGGGAAATATCTTCACATAAAAAGTGGACAGAAGCTTTTGGAGAAACTACTTTGTGATGTGTCCATTCATCTCACAGAGTTGAACCTTTCTTTTGATTGAGCAGTTTGAAAAGAGTCCTTTCTAGAATCTGCAGAGG
>NT_187425.1:28160-32222 GCF_000001405.40 Homo sapiens | reverse complement strand
ATGTGAAGAAGATTCCTTTTCCACCATATCCTCATGCACTCCAAATAAACACTTGCAGATTCTGCTAAAAGAGTGTTTCAAAACTGCTCAATCAAAAGAAAGGTTCTAGTCGGTGAGACGAATGCACACATCACAAAGAAGTTTCTATGAATGCTTCTGTCTGATTTATATTGAAGATATTTCCTTTTTCACCGTAGGCCTCAGAGTGCTTAAAATATCCATTTGCAGATACTAGAAAAGACTGTTTCCAAACTGCTCAATCAAAATAAAGTTCAACTCAGTGAGATGAATGCACACATCACCAAGACGTTTCTGAGAAAGATTCTGTCTCGTTTTTATGTGAAGATATTTCCTATTTCCCCAGAGGCATCAATGGGCTCACAAATATTCCTTTGCATATTCTACAAAATGACTGTTTAGAAGGTGCTCAATCAAAAAAAAAAGTTCAACAATGTGAGATGAATGCGCACATTCAAAGGAAGTTTCTCAGAATTCTTCTGTCTAGTTTTTATGTGAAGATATTTCCTTTTTCACTATAGGCCACAAAGTGCTCCAAATATCCACTTGCAGACTCTACAAAACGAGTGTATCCACACTGCTCAATCAAAAGAAAATTTCAACTGTGTGAGATGAATGCGCACATCAAAATAAATTTCTCCAAAACTTCTGCCTACTTTTTATGGGAAGATATTTTGTTTTTCAACATAGGCCAAAAGCACTCCAAATATCAATTTGCAGATTCTACAAAAAGACCGTTTCCAAACTGCTCAATCAAGAGAAAGTTTCAACCCGGTGAGTAGAAGTCACACATGACAAAATAGTTTCTCAGAAAGTATCTGTCTAGTTTTTATGTGAAGATATTTCCTATCACCCCAGAAGCCTCAATGGGCTCACAAATATCCCTTTGCAGATTCTACAAAACGACAGTTTCAAAACTGCTGAATCAAAAGAAAGGTTCCACTCTGTGAGATGAATGCACAGATCACAAATAAGTTTCTCAGAATGCTGCTGTCTAGTTTTTATGGGAAGATATTTCCTTTTCCACCATAGACCTCAAAGCTCTCCAAATATCCACTTGCAGTTACTGTAAAAAGACTGTTTCCAAACTGCTGAATCAAAAGAAAGGTTGAACTCCATGAGTTGAATGCACACATCACAAAGAAGTTTCTCAGAATGCTTCTGAGTAGTTTTTATGTGAAGATATTTTCTTTTCCACCATAGGCCTCAAAGCACTGAAAATATCCACTTGAAGATTCTACAAAAAGAGAGTTTCAAAACTGCTCAAACAAAAGAAAGATTCAACTCTGTGAGATGAATGCACACATCACAAAGAAGTTTCTCAGAATGCTTCTGTCTAGTTTTATGTAAAGATATTTCCTTTTCTACTATAGGCCACAAAGCACTCCAAATATCAACTTGCAGATTCTGCAGAAAGAGTTTTTCAAAGCTGCTCAATTAAAAGAAAAGTTCAACTCTTTGAGATGAATGCACACATCATGAAGTTCCTCAGAATGCTTCTATTTTTATGTGAAGATATATCCTTTTCTACCATAGACCACAAAACGCTCCAAATATCCCCTTGCAGTTTCTACTAAAAGATTGTTTCCAAACTGCTCAATCAAAAGAAAGTTTCAACTCTGTGAGATGAATGCACACATCATTAAGAAGTTTCTCAGTAATTTTCTGTCTAGTTTTTATGTGAAGATATTTCCTTTCCTACTATAGGCCTGAAAGTGCTCCAAATATCCGTTTGCAGATACTGCAAAAAGACTGTTTCCAAACTGCTCAATCAAAGGAAATGTCCAACTCTGTGAGTTGAATGCACGCATCTCAAAGAGATTACTTATAATGATTCTGTCTAGTTTTTATGTGAAGATATTTGCTTTTCCACCAGTGGCCTCAAACTCTCCAAATATCCACTTGCAGATTCTACAATAAGAGTGTTTCAAAACTGCTCAATCAAAAGAAAGGTTCAACACTGTGAGATGAATGCACACATCACAAAGCACTTTCTTAGAATGCTTCTGTCTAGCTTTTATGTGAAGATATTTCCTTTTTCACCATAGGCTGCAAAGCGCTCCAAATATTCCCTTCAGATTCTACAGAAAGAGTGTTTCAAAACTGTTCAATCAAAAGAGAAATTCAACTCTGGTGATGAATGCACGCATCACAAAGCAGTTTCTCATAATGTTTCTGTCTAGTTTTTATGTGAAGATATTTCATTTTCCACTATAGGCCGTAATGCACTCCTAATATCCACTTGCAGATTCTACAAAAAGACTGTTTCCAAACTGCTCAAACAGAAGAAAAGTTCAACTCTGTGAGTTGAATGAGCACATCACGAAGAAGTTTCTCAGAATGCTTCTGTCTAGTTTTTATGTGAAGATATTTCGTTTTCCACCATAGGCCGTAATGCGCTCCAAATATCCACTTGCAGATTCTACAAAAAGACTGTTTCCAAACTGCTCAATCAAAAGAAAAGTTCAACTCTGTGAGTTGAATGAGCACATCACAAAGAAGTTTCTCAGAATGCTTCTGTCTAGTTTTTATGTGAATATATTTCCTTTTCCACCACAGGCCACAAACACTCCAAATATCCACTTGAAGATTCTACAAAAAGAGTGCTTCAAAAATGCTCAATCAAAAGAAAGGTTCAACTCTTTGAGATGGATGCACACATCACAAAGAAGCTTCTCAGAATGTTTCTGTCTAGTTTTTTTGTGAAGATATTTCCTTTTCCACCGTAGTCCTCAAGTCTCTCCAAATATCTACTTTCAGAATCTCCAAAAAGAGTGTTTTAAAACTGCTGTACCAAAGAAAGTTTCACGTCTGAGATATGACTGCATACAACACAGAGAAGTTTCTCAGAGTGCTTCTGTTTATTTTTTTTATGAAGATATTTCCTTTTCCACTATTGGCCACAGAGCGCTCCAAATATCCACTTGCAGATTCTACAAAAAGGGTGTTTCAAACCTGCTCAATCAAAAGAAAGATTTAACTCTATGAGATGAATGGACACATCACAAAGAAGTTTCTCAGTATGCTTTTATCTAATTTTTATGTGAAGATGTTTCCTTTTCCATTCCATGAAGTAAAGTGATGCAAATATCCATTTGTAGATATTACAAAAAGACTGCTTCCAAACTGCTCGATCAAAAGAAATGTTCAACTCTGTGAGCTGAATACACACATCACAAAGAATTTTCTCAGAATGCTTCTGTCTAGTTTTTATATGAAGATATTTCCTTTTCCACCATAGGCCTCAAAGCACTCAAAATGTCCATTTGCAGACACTACAGAAAGACGCTTTCCAAGCAGCTCAATCAAAGGAAATGTTCAGCTCTGTGAATTGAATGCACATCACAAAGTAGTTTCCCAGAATGTTTCTGTCCTGTATATATGTGAAGATATTTCCTTTTCCAATATAGGCCTCAAAGCACTCCAAATATCAACTTGCAGATTCTGTGAAAAGAGTGTTTCAAACTTCCCAATCACAGGAAATGTTCAACTCTGTGAGATGAATGCACACAACACGAAGAAGTTCCTCAGAATGCTTCTGTCTGGTTTTTATTTGAAGATATTTCCTTATCCACTATAGGCCACAAAGCGCTCCATATATCCACTTGCAGATACTACAAAAAGAGTGTTTCCAAACTGCTCAATCAAAAGAAAGGTTCAACTCTGTGAGTTGAATGCGCACATAACAAAGAATTTTCTCAGAATGCTTCTGTCTAGTTTTCATGTGACGATATTTCCTTTTCCACCACATGCCTCAAAGCGCTCCAAAAATCCACAAGCAGATTCCATAAATAGAGTATTTCAAAACTGCTGAATCAAAAGAAAGTTTCAGCTCTGTGAGATGAATGCACACTTCACAAAGAAGATTCTCAGAATGCTTCTGTCTAGTTTTCATGTGAAGATAATTCCTTTTCCACATTAGGCCTCAAAGCTCTTCAAATATCCCTTGCAGATTCTACAAAAAGAGTGTTTCAAAACTGCTCAATAGAAAGAAAGGTTCAAGTCTGTGAGATGAATGCACATCTCACAAACACGTTCTCAGAA
>NT_187425.1:19867-23243 GCF_000001405.40 Homo sapiens | reverse complement strand
CACTTGCAGATTCTACAAAAAGAGAAATTCAAAACTGCTCAACCAAAAGATAGGTACAACTCTGTGAGTTGAATGCACACATCACAAAGAAGTTTCTTTGAATGCTTCTTTGTAGTTTTTATGGGAAGATAAATCCTTTTCCACCGTAGGCCTAAAAGATCTCCAAATATCCACTTGCAGATTCTACAAAGCCAATGTTTCAAATCTGATCAATCATAAGATAGGTTAAACTCTGTGAGATGAAAGCGCACATCACAAAAAAGTTTCTCAGAATGCTTCTGTGTAGTTTTTATTTGAAGATATTCCCTTTTTCTCCATTGGCCACTAATATCTCCCAATATCCACCTGCAGATTCTACAAAAAGAGAGATTCAAAACTACTCAAGCAAAAGATAAGTTCAATTCTCAGAGTTTAATGCATACATAAAAAAGAAGTTTCTCAGAATGCTTCTGTGTAGTTTTTATTTGAAGATATTTCCTTTTCCACCATAGGCTGCAAAGGGCTCAAAATATCCACTTGCTGATTTTACAAAAAGAGAGATTCAAAACTGCTCAATCAAAAGGTATGTTGAAATCTATGCGTTGAATGCACTCATCACAAGGAAGTTTCTCAGAATGCTTTTGTCTAGTGTTTATGTGAAGATATTTCCTTTTCCACAAAAAGCCTCAAAACGCTCCAAATATCCACTTGCAGATTCTACAAAGAGGTTATTTCAAAACTGCTAAATCATAAGATAGGTTCAATTCTGTGAGATGAATGCACACATCACAAAGAAGTTTCTCCGAATGCTTCTGTGTAGTTTTTATGTGAAGATACTTCCTTTTCCACAATAGTCCTGAAAGCGTTCCAATTATCTACCTGTAGATTCTACAAAAAGAGAGTTTCAAAACTGCTCAATCAAAAGAAAAGTTCAAATCTATGTGATGAATGCACTCATCACAAATTAGTTTCTCAGAATGATTAGTTTCTCAGAATGTTTCAGTGTAGTTTTTATGTGAAATTATTTCGTTTTCCAAAATAGGCCTCAAAGCGCTCCAAACATCCTCTTGCAGATTCTACAAAACAGTGTTTCAAAACTCCTCAATCAAAAGAAAGTTTCAACACTGTGAGATGAATGCACACATCACAAAGTAGTTTCTCAGAATGCCTCTGTGTGGTTTTTATGTGAAGATATTTGTTTTTCCACAGTAGGCCTCAAAGGGCTCCAAATATCCACTTGCAGATTCTACAAAAACTGTGTTTCAAAACTGCTCAATCAAAAGAAACTGTCAACTCTGTCAAATGAATGCACACATCACAAAGAAGTTTCTCAGAATCCTTCTGTGTAGTTTTTATGTGAAGATATTTCGTTTTCCACAATAGGACACAGAGTGCCCCAGGTATTCACTTTCAGATTCTACAAAGAGAGTGTTTCAAAACTGCTCAATCATAAGATAGTTTCAACTCTGTGGGATGAATGCACACATCACAAAGAAGTTTCTCAGAATGCTTCTGTGTAGTATTTATTTGAAGATATTTCCTCTTTCTCCATAGACCACAAAGGTATCCAAATATCCTCTTGCAGATTCTACAAAAAGAGAGATTCAAAACTGATCTATCAAAAGATAGGTTCAACTCTGTGTGTTGAATGCTCACATGGCAAAGAAGTTTCTCAGAATACTTCTGTGTAGTTTTTATGTGAAGATATTTCCTTTTCCACTATAGTCCTCAAAGTGCTCAAAATATCCACTTGCAGATTCTACAGAAAGAGTGTTTCAAAATTGCTCAATCAAAAGAAATGTACAACTCTGTGAGATGAATGCACACATCACAAAGTACTTACTCAGAATGCCTCTGCATAGTTTTTATGTGAAAATATTTAGTTTTCCACAGTAGGCATCAAAGCGCTCAAAATATCCTCCTGCAGATTTTACAAAAACCGTGTTTCAAAACTGTTCTACCAAAAGAAAGGTTCACATCTGTGAGATGAATGCACACATCACAAAGAAGATTCTCATAATGCTTCTGTGCAATTTTTATGTGAAGATGTTACTTTTCCACAATAGGCCTCAAAGTGCTTCAAATATCAACTTGAAGATTATACAAAGAGAGTGTTTCAAAACTGCTCAATCATAAGATAGGTTCAACTCTGTGTGGTGAATGCACACATCAAATGAAGTTACTCAGAATGCTTCTTTATAGTTTTTATGTTATCATATTTACTTGTCCACAATAGGCCTCAAAGTGCTCCAAATATCCTCTTGCAGATTTTTCAAAAACAGTGTTTCAAAAATGCTCTACCAAAAGAAAGGTTTAACACTGTGAGATGAATGCACACAACCAAAAGAAGATTCTCAGAATGCTTCTGTGTAGTTTTTATTTCATGGTACTTCCTTTTCCTCCATAGGCTGAAAAGGGCTTCAAATATCTACTTGCAGATTCGACATAAAGAGAGATTCAAAACTACTGAATCAAAAGATAGATTCAACTCTGTGTTATGAAGGCACTCATCACAAAGAAGTTTCTCAGAATGCTTCTGCGTAGTTTTTATGTGAAGATATTTACTTTTACACCATAAGCTTCAAAACTCTCTAAATATCTACTTGCAGATTCTACAGAAAGAGTGATCCCAAACAGCTCAAACAAAAGAAATGTTCAACTCTGTCAAATGAATGCACACATCACAAAGAACTTCCTCAGAATGCTTCTTTGTAATTTTTATGTGAAGATATTTCATTTTCCACAATAGGCCTCAAAGAGCTCCAAATATCCACTTGCAGATTCTAGAAAAAGAATGTGAAAACTGCTCAATCAACAGAAAGGTTCAACTCTGTGAGATGAATGCATACATCACAAAGAAGTTTCTCAGAATGTTTCCATGTGTTTTTTTTTTTTTTTTTGAAGATATTTCCTTTTCCACAATAGGCACCAAAGCGCTCCAGATATCCACTTTCAGATTCTTCCAACACAGGGTTTCAAAATTGCTCAATCAAAAGATAGGTTCAAGTGTGTGAGTTGAATGCACACAACAGCAAAAATTTTCTCAGAATGCTTCTGTGTAGTTTTTATGTGAAGATACTTCCTTTTCCACCATAGGCTGCAAAGGGCTCCAAATATCCACTTGCAGATTCTACAGAAGGAGAGATTCAAAACTACTCATTCAAAGGTAGCTTCAACTCTGTGAGTTGAGTGCACACATCACAAAGAAGTTTCTCAGAATGCTTCTGTGTAGTTTTTATGTGAAGATATTTCCTTTTGCAATATATGCCACAAAGGCCTCCAAATACCCATTCCAGACTCTTCAAAAAGAGAGTTTCAAAACTGCTCCATCAAAAGATAGGTTCAACTCCATGAGATGAATGCACACATCACAAAAAGTTTCTCAGAATGCTTCTGT
>NT_187425.1:0-14754 GCF_000001405.40 Homo sapiens | reverse complement strand
GCTTTTCTAGTTCTTTTAATTGTGATGTTAGGGTGTCAATTTTGGATCTTTCCTGCTTTCTCTTGTGGGCATTTAGTGCTATAAATTTCCCTCTACACACTGCTTTGAATGTGTCCCAGAGATTCTGGTATGTTGTGTCTTTGTTCTCGTTGGTTTCAAAGATCATCTTTATTTCTGCCTTCATTTCGTTATGTACCCAGTAGTCATTCAGGAGCAGGTTGTTCAGTTTCCATGTAGTTGAGTGGTTTTGAGTGAGTTTCTTAATCCTGAGTTCTAGTTTGATTGCACTGTGGTCTGAGAGACAGTTTGTTATAATTTCTATTCTTTTACATTTGCTGAGGAGGGCTTTACTTCCAACTATGTGGTCAATTTTGGAATAGGTGCAGTGTGGTGCTGAAAAAAATGTATATTCTGTCGACTTGGGGTGGAGAGTTCTGTAGATGTCTATTAGATCCTCTGGTGAAGAGCTGAGTTCAATTCCTGGGTATACTTGTTAACTGTCTCTTTGGTCTGTCTAATATAGACAGTGGGATGTTAAAGTCTCCTATTATTATTGTGTGGGAGTCTAAGTCTCGTTGTAGGTCACTCAGGACTTGCTTTAAGAATCTGGATGCTCCTGTATTGGGTGCATATATATTTAGGATAGTTAGCTCTTCTTGTTGAATTGATCCCTTTACCATTATGTAATGGCCTTCTTTGTATCTTTTGATCTTTGTTGGTTTAAAGTCTGTTTTATCAGAGACTAGGATTGCAACCCCTGTCTTTTTTTATTTTCCATTTACTTGGTAGATCTTACTCCATCGTTTTATTTTGAGCCTATGTGTGTCTCTGCATGTGAGATAGGTTTCCTAAATACAGCACACTGATGGGTCTTGACTCTTTATCCAAATTGCCAGTCTATGTCTTTAATTGGAGCATTTAGTCCATTTACATTTAGAGTTAATATTGTTTTGTGTGATTTTGATCCGTCTTTATGATGTTAGCTGGTTATTTTACTCTTTAGTTGATGTAGTTTCTTACTAGCCACAATGGTCTTTACAATTTGGCATGATTTTGCAGTGGCTGGTACTGGTTGTTTCTTTCCATGTTTAGTGCTTCCTTCAGGAGCTCTTTTAGGGCAGGCCTGGTGGCGACAAAATCTCTCAGCATTTGCTTGTCTGTAAAGTATTTTATTTCTCCTTCACTTATGAAGCTTAGTTTGGCTGGATATCAAATTCTGGGTTGAAAATTCTTTTCTTTAAGAATGTTGAATATTGGCCCCCACTCTCTTCTGGCTTGTAGAGTTTCTGCCAAGAGATCAGCGTTAGTCTGATGGGCTTCCCTTTGAGGGTAACCTGACCTTTCTCTCTGGCTGCCCTTAACATTTTTTGCTTCATTTCAACTTTGGTGAATCTGACAATTATGTGTCTTGGAGTTGCTCTTCTCGAGGATTATCTTTGTGGCATTCTATGTATTTTCTGAATCTGAATGTTGGCCTGCCTTGCTAGATTGGGGAAGTTCTCCTGGATAATATCCTGCAGAGTGTTTTCCAACTTAGTTCCAATCTCCACATCACTTTCAGGTACACCAATCAAAGATATGGTCTTTTCACATAGTCCCATATTTCTTGAAGGCTTTGTTCATTTCTTTTTATTCTTTTTTCTCTAAACTTCCCTTCTCGCTTCATTTAATTCATTTCATTTTCCATCACTGATACCCTTTCTTCCAGTTGATTGCATTGTCTCCTGAGGCTTCTGCATTCTTCGCGTTGTTCTAGAGCCTTGGCTTTCAGCTCCATCAGCTCCTTTAAGCCCTTCTCTGTATTGGTTATTCTAGTTATACATTCGTCGAAATTTTTTTCAAAGCTTTTAACTTTTTTGCCTTTGGTTTGAATTTCCTCCTGTAGCTTGGAGTAGTTTGATCATCTGAAGCCTTTTTCTCTCAACCTGTCAAAGTCATTCTCTGTCCAGCTTTGTTCCATTGCTGGTGAGGAAGTGCATTCCTTTGGAGGAGGAGAGGCACTCTGCTTTTTAGAGTTTCCAGTTTTTCTACTCTGTTTTTTCCTCATCTTTGTGGTTTTACCTACTTTTGGTCTTTGATGATGGTGATGTACAGTTGGGTTTTTGCTGTGGATGTCCTTTCTGTTTGTTAGTTTTCCTTCTAACAGGCAGACCCTCAGCTGCAGGTCTCTTGGAGTTTACTAGAGGTCCACTCCAGATCCTGTTTGCCTGGGTATCAGCAGCGGTGACTGCAGAACAGTGGATTTTCATGAACCATGAATGCTGCTGTCTGATCTTTGCTCTGGAAATTTTGTCTCAGAGGACTACCCGGCCGTGTGAGGTGTCAGTCTGCCCCTACTTGGTTGTGCCTCTCAGTTAGGCTGCTCATAGTTCAGGGGTCAGGGACCCACTTGAGGAGGCAGTCTGCCCGTTCTCAGATCTCCAGCTGTGTTCTGGGAGAACCACTTTTCTCTTCAAAGCTGTCAGACAGGGACATTTATGTCCGCAGAGTTTACTGCTGTCTTTTTGTTTGTCTGTGCCCTGCTCTCAGATGTGGAGCCTACAGAGTCATGCAGGCCTCCTAGAGCTGTGGTCGTCTACACCCAGTTCGAGCTTTCCAGCAGCATTGTTTACCTAAGAAAGCCTGGGCAATGGAGGTTGCCCCACCACCAGCCTTACTGCCACCTTGTACTTTGATCACAGACTGCTGTGCTAGCAATCAGTGAGACACTGTGGAGGTAAAACCCTCCAAGCCATGTGTGGGATATAATATCCTGGTGTGCCATTTTTTAAGCCTGTTGAAAAAGTGCAGTATTAGTGTGGGAGTCACCTGATTTTCCAGGTGCCATCTGTCGCCCCTTTATTTGACTAGGAAAGGGAAATCCCTGACCACTTCCACTTCCCATGTGAGGAAATGCCTCGCTCTGCTTCAGCCCATGCATGGCACCCTGCACCCAGTATCCTGTGCCCACAGTCTGGCACTCCCTAGTGAGATGAACCTGGTATCTCAGATGGAAATGAAGAAATCACCCATCTTCTGTGTCACTCATGATAGGAACTGTAGAACAGAGCTGTTCCCATTTGGCCATCTTGACTGCTGCCTCATTTGCCAGTTTGCTTCTGTGTAGTTATTATGTGAAAATATTTCCTTTACCACCATAGGCTGCAAAGGGCTCAAAATATCCACTTGCAGATTCTACAAAAAGAGAGTTTCAAAACTGCTCAATCAAAAGATAGGTTCAACTCGGTGAGTTGTATGCACACATTCCAAAGAAGTTTCTCTGAATGCTTCTGCATAGTTTTAATGTGAAGATATATCCATTTCCACCATAGTCCACAAAGCGCTCCAAATATTCACTTGCAGATTCTACAAAATGAGTGTTTCAAAACTGCTCAATCAAAAGAATGGTTCAACATTGTGAGATGAATTCACACATCACAAAGAAGTTTCTCAGAATGCTTCTGTGTAGTTCTCATGTGAAGATATTTCCTTTTCCACCATAGGCCTCAATGCGATCCAAACATCCAATTTTAGATACCACAAAAAGAGTGTTTCCAAACTGCTCAATCAAAAGAAAGTTCAACTCTGTGAGATGAAGGCACACATGACCAAGACGTTCCTCAGAAATCTTTTTTGTAGTTTTTACGTGAAGGTATTTCCTTTCCCACTATAGGCCGCAAAGGGCTCCAAATATCCTCTTGCAGATTCTACAAAAAGAGAGATTCAAAACTGCTCAATCAAAAGATAGTTTCAACTCTGTGAGTTTAATGCACACTTAACAAAGTTGTTTCTCAGAATGCTTCTGTGTAGTTTTTATGTGAAGATATTCCCGTTTCCACCATAGGCCTCGAAGCACTCCAAATATCCACTTGCAGATTCTACAAAAATAAAGTTTCAAAACTGCTGAATGAAAATAAAGGTTTAACACTGTGAGATGAATGCAAATATTGTACAGAAATTTTTCAGAATGATTCTGTGCAGTTTTTATGTGAAGGTATTTCCTTTTCCACAGTAGGAATCTAAGACCTCCAAATATCAACTGGCAGATTCTACATAGAGAGTTTTTCAAAACTGCTCAATCAAAAGAAAGGTTCAATTCTGTGAGATGAATGCACACATCCCAAAGAGGTTACTCGGAATGCTTCTGTGTACTTTTCATGTGAAGATATTTTCTTTTGAACAATAGGCCTCAAAGCGCTCTAATTATCCACTTGCAGATTCTACAAAAAGAATGTTTCAAAACTGCTAACTGAAAAGAAAGATTCATCTCTGTGAGATGAATGCACACATCACCATGAAGTTTCTCAGAATGATTCTGTGTAGTTTTTAGTTGAAGATATTCCCATTTCCACCATAGGCCCCAAATGGCCCCAAATATCCACTTGTAGATTCTACAAAAAGATAGTTTCAAAACTGTTCAATGAAAAGATAGGTTCAACACCGTGAGTTGAATGCACACATCACAGAGAAGTTTCTCAGAAAGTTTCTGTGTAGTTTTTATGTGAAGATGTTTCCTTTTACACAATAGACCTCAAAGTGCTCCAAATATTCACTTGCAGATACTTCAAAAAGATTGTTTCAAAACTGCTCAATCAAGAGAAATGTTCATCTCTGTGAGATGAATGCACACATCACAAAGAAGTTTCTCAGAAAACTTCTTTGTGTTTTTTATGTGAAGGCATTTCCTTTTCCACAACAGGCCACAAAAGGCTGTAAATATCCACTTGCAGATACTACAAAAAGAGAGTTTCAAAACGGCTTAATCAAAAGATAGGTTCAACTCTGTGAGTTGAATGCACACATCACAAAGGAGTTTCTCAGAATACTTCTGTCTAGTTTTCATGTGAAGGCATTTCCTTTTCCCCCATAGGCATCAAATGGTTCCAAACATACACCTGCAGATACTACAAAAAGAGAGCTTCAAAACTGCTCATCAAAAGATTAATTCACATCTGTGAGTTGAATGCACACAACACAAAGAATTTTCTCAGAATGCTTCTGTGTGGTCTTAAGTTATTTCCTTTTCCACAATAGGCCTCAAAGCGTTCCAAATATGAACTTGCAGATTTTACAACAACAGTGTTTCAATACTGCTCAATCAAAAAAAAGGTACAACTCTGTGAGATGAATGCACACATCACAAAGAAGTTTCTCAGAATGATTCTGTGTAGATTTTATGTGAAGATATTTCGTTTTCCAAAATAGGCCTCAAAGCCCTCCAAATATCCACTTGCAGATTCTACAAAGAGAGTGTTTCAAAACTACTCAATCAAAAGAAAGGTTCAACTCTGTGAGTTGAATGCACACATCACAAAGAAGTTTCTCAGAATGCTTCCGTGTAGTTTTTACATAAAGATATTTCCTATTCCACCATAGGCCTCAAAGCGCTCCAAATATCCTCTTGCAGAATCTACAAAAAGAGTGTCACAAAACTGCTCAATCAAAAGAACGTTCAACTCTTTGAGATGAAAGTAGATATCACAAAAAAGTTTCTCAGAATGCTTCTGTGTAGTTTTTATGTGAAATATTTGCTTTTCCAGAGTAGGCCTCAAAGCGCTTCTAATATCCACTTGCAGATCCTGCCAAAACTGTGTTTCATAACTGCGCAACCAAAAGAAAGTTTCAACTCTGTGAGATGAAAGCACACAATGCAAAGACTCTTCTCAGAATGCTTCTGTGTAGTTTTTATGTGAAGATATTGCCTTTTAGACAATAAGCTTCAAAGCGCTCCAAGTAACCTCTTGCAGATTCTACAAAAAGAGTGTTTCAAAACTGCTCAATCCAAAGAGAGGTTCAACTCTGTGAGATGAATACACACATCACAAAGAAGTTTCTCAGACTGCTCCTGTGTAGTTTTTTTTTGAAGATATTTCCGTTTCCACCATAGGCCACAAAGGACTCCAAACATCCAGTTGCATATTCTACAAAAAGAGATTCAAAACTGCTCAATCAAAAAATAGGTTGAACTCTGTGAGATGAATGCACACATCACAAAGAAGTTTCTCAGAATACTTCTGTCTGTTTTTTATGTGAAGGCATTTCCTTTTCCACAACAGGCCACAAAAGGCTGTAAATATCCACTTGCATATACTACAAAAAGAGAGTTTCAAAATGGCTTAATCAAAAGATAGGTTCAACTCTGTGAGTTGAATGCACACATCACAAAGGAGTTTCTCAGAATACTTCTGTCTAGTTTTCATGTGAAGGCATTTCTTTTTCCCCCATAGGCATCAAATGGTTCCAAACATACACCTGCAGATACTACAAAAAGAGAGCTTCAAAACTGCTCATCAAAAGATTAATTCACATCTGTGAGTTGAATGCACACAACACAAAGAATTTTCTCAGAATGCTTCTGTGTGGTCTTAAGTTATTTCCTTTTCCACAATAGGCCTCAAAGCATTCCAAATATGAACTTGCAGATTATACAACAACAGTGTTTCAATACTGCTCAATCAAAAAAAAGGTACAACTCTGTGAGATGAATGCACACATCACAAAGAAGTTTCTCAGAATGATTCTGTGTAGATTTTATGTGAAGATATTTCGTTTTCCAAAATGGGCCTCAAAGCCCTCCAAATATCCACTTGCAGATTCTACAAAGAGAGTGTTTCAAAACTACTCAATCAAAAGAAAGGTTCAACTCTGTGAGTTGAATACACACATCACAAAGAAGTTTCTCAGAATGCTTCTGTGTAGTTTTTATGTGAAATATTTGCTTTTCCAGATTAGGCCTCAAAGCGCTTCTAATATCCACTTGCAGATCCTGCCAAAACTGTGTTTCATAACTGCGCAACCAAAAGAAAGTTTCAACTCTGTGAGATGAAAGCACACAATGCAAAGACTCTTCTCAGAATGCTTCTGTGTAGTTTTTATGTGAAGATATTGCCTTTTAGACAATAAGCTTCAAAGCGCTCCAAGTAACCTCTTGCAGATTCTACAAAAAGAGTGTTTCAAAACTGCTCAATCCAAAGAGAGGTTGAACTCTGTGAGATGAATACACACATCACAAAGAAGTTTCTCAGACTGCTCCTGTGTAGTTTTTTTTGAAGATATTTCCGTTTCCACCATAGGCCACAAAGGACTCCAAACATCCAGTTGCATATTCTACTAAAAGAGATTCAAAAACTGCTCAATCAAAAAATAGGTTGAACTCTGTTAGTTGAATGTACACATCACAAAGAATTTTCTCAGAATGCTACTGTGTAGTTTTTACGTGAAGATATTTCCTTTTTCAAAACAGGCCTCAAAGACCCCAAATATCCACTTGCAGATTCTACAAAAAGTGTGTTTCAAAACTGCTCGATCAGAAGACATGTTCAATCTGTGTGATGAATGCACTCATCTCAAAGTAGTCGCTCAGAATGCTTCTGTGAAATTTTTATGTGAAGATATTTCCTTTTCCACAATAGGCCTCAAAGCGCTCCAAATATCCACTTTCAGATTCTACAAAAAGAGAGATTCAAAACTGCTCAAACAAACCCTAGGTTAAACTCTGTGTGTTGAATTCACAATTCACGAAGAAATTTATCAGAATGCTACTGTGTAGTTATTATTTGAAAAAAATTTTTTTGCACAATCTGCATCAAAGTTCTCCAAATATCCAAAGGCAGATTCTACAAAAAGAGTGTTTCAAAACTGCTCAATCAAAAGAAAGGATTAACTCTGTGAGATGGATGCACACATCACAAAGAAGTTTCTCAGAAAGCTTCTGTGTGGTCTTTAAGTGAAGATATTTTCTTTTAAAGAGTAGGCCTCATGCGCTCCAAATATCCACTTGCAGATTCTACAAAAAGAGTGTTTCAAAACTGCTCAATCATAAAATAGGTTCAAACATGTGAGCTGAACGCGCACATCACACAGAAGTTTCTCAGAATGCTTCTGTGTAGTTTTTATGTGAAGATATTTCCTTTTCCACAATAGGCCTCAAAAAGCTCCAAATTTCCACTTGCAGATGCTACAAAAAGAGTGTTTCAAAACTGCTCAATCAAAAGAAAGATTCATCTCTGTAAGGTGAATGCACATATCACAATGTAGCTTCTGAGAAGGCTTCAGTGTACCTTTTACGTGAAGATATTTCCTTTTCCACAATAGGCCTCAAACCGCTCCAAATATCCACTTGCACATTCTACAAAAAGAGTATTTCACAACTGCTCAATCATAAGATAGGTTCAACTCTGTGAGATGAATGCACACATCACAAAGAAGTTTCTCAGAATGCTTCTGTGTAGGTTTTATTTGAAGACATTTCCTTTCCCACCACAGACCGCAAATTGCTCCAAATATCCACTTGCAGATTCTATAAAAAGAGAGATTCAAAACTGATCAATCATAAGATAGGTTCAACTCTGTGAGATGTATGCACATTTCACAAAGAAGTTTCTCAGAATTCTTCCGTATAGTTTTTATGTGAAGATATTTCCTTTTCCACAATAGGCCTCAAAACGCCCCAAATATCCACTTTCAGATTCTACAACTAGAGTGTTTCAAATCTACTAAATCATAAGACAGTTTCAAATCTGTGAGATGAATTCACACATCACGAATATGTTTATCAGAATACTTCTGTGTAGTTTTCACATTAAGATATTTCGTTTTCCACAATAGGCCTCAAAGCACTCCAAATATCCACTTGCAGATTCTACAAAATGATTGTTTCAATACTGCGCAATCATAAGACAGGTTCAACTGTGTGAGATGAATGCAGCCATCACAAAGAAGGTTCTCAGAATGCTTCTGTGAAGTTTTTATGTGAAGATATTTGCTTTTCCACAGTAGGCCTCAAAGCGCTCCAAATATGCACTTGAAGATTCTACAAAAACAGTGTTCCAAAACTGTTGAATCATAAGATAGGTTCAACTCTGTGAGTTGAATGCACACATTGCAAAGAAATTCCTCAGAATGCTTCTGGGTAGTTTTTATTTGAAGATATTTCCTTTTCCTACCATAGGCCACAAAGGGCTCCAAATGTCCACTTGCAGATCCTACAAAAAGAGGGAATGAAAACTGCTCAATGAAAAGATAGGTTCAACTCTGTGAGTTTAATGCACATATCACCAAGTAGTTTCTCAGAATGCTTCTGTGTAGTTTTTATGTGAAGATATTACCTTTTTCACAATAGGCAACATGGGCTCCAAATATACACTTGCACTTTCTACAGAAAGAGTGTTTCAAAACTACTCAATCATAAGATAGGTTCAACATTGTAAGATGAAAGCTCACATCACAAAGAAGTTTCTCAGAATGCTTCTGTGTAGTTCTCATGTGAAGATATTTCCTTTTCCACCATAGGCCACAAAGCGATCCAAACATCCACTTGTAGATACTACAAAAAGAGTGTTTCCAAACTGCTCCATCAAAAGAAAGGATCAACTCTGTGAGATGAAGGCACACATGACCAAGACGTTCCTCAGAAATCTTTTTTGTAGTTTTTATGTGAAGGTATTTCCTATTCCACCATAGGCCAAAAAGGGCTCCAAATATCCTCTTGCAGATTCTACAAAAAGAGAGATTCAAAACTGCTCAATCAAAAGATAGTTTCTACTCTGTGCATTTAATGCACATTTAACAAAGTTGTTTCTCAGAATGCTTCTGTGCAGTTTTTATGTGAAGATATTCCCATTTCCACTATAGGCCTCGAAGCGCTCCAAATATCCACTTGCAGATTCCACAAAAATAGAGTTTCAAAACTGCTGAGTGAAAAGAAAGGTTCAACACTGTGAGATGAATGCACATATCGCAAACAAGTTTCTCAGAATGATTCTGTGCAGTTTTTATGTGAAGATATTTCCTCTTCCACAATAGGAATCTAAGCACTCCAAATATCAACTTGCAGATTGTACAGAAAGAGTGTTTCAAAACTGCTCAATGAAAAGAAAGGTTCAACTCTGTGAGATGAATGCACACATCACCATGAATTTTCTCAGAATGCTTCTGTGTAGTTTTTAGTTGAAGATATTCCCATTTCCACCATACGCTGCAAATGCCTCCAAATATCCACTTGCAGATTCTACAGAAAGAGAGTTTCAAAACTGTTCAATGAAAAGACAGATTCACCTCCGTGAGTTGAATGCACACATCACAGAGAAGTTTCTCAGAAAGCTTCTGTGTAGTTTTTATGTGAAGATATTTCCTTTTACACAACAGGCCTCAAAGTGCTCCAAATATTCACTTGCAGATACTTCAAAAAGATTGTTTCAAAACTGCTCAATCAAGAGAAATGTTCATCTCTGTGAGATGAATGCACACATCACAAAGAAGTTTCTCAGAAAACTTCTTTGTGTTTTTTATGTGAAGGCATTTCCTTTTCCACAATAGGCCACAAAAGGCTCCAAATATCCACTTGCAGATACTATAAAAAGAGAGTTTCAAAGTGGCTCAATCAAAAGATAGGTTCAACTCTGTGAGTTGAATGCACATATCACAAAGGAGTTTCTCAGATTGCTTCTGTGTAGTTTTTATGTGAAGATATTTTCCTTTTCCACAATAGGCCTCAAAGCATTTCAAATATCCACTTGCAGATTATGCAAAAAAAGTGCTTCAAAACTGTTCAATCCAAAGTTTCAACTATGTGAGATGAATGCACATATCCAAAGAAGTTTCTCGGAATGATTCTGTGTAGTTTTTATGTGAAGATATTTCGTTTTCCAAAATAGGCCTCAAAGCCCTCCAAATATCCACTTGCAGATTCTACAAAGAGAGTGTTTCAAAACTGCTCAAACAAAAGAAAGGTTCAACTGTGTGAGATAATTGCACACATCACAAAGAAGTTCTCAGAATGCTTCTGTGTAGTTTTAATGTGAATATATTTGTTGTTCAACTGTTGGCCTCAAAGCGCTCCAAATATCCACTTGCATATTCTACAAATAGAGTATTTCAAAACTACTCAATCAAAAGAAAGGTTCAACTCTGTGAGTTGAATACACACATCCACAGAAGTTTCTCAGAATTCTTATGTGTAATTTTTATGTGAAGATATTTCCTATTCCACTGTAGGCTTCAATGCACTCCAAATATCCTCTTGCAGATTCTACAAAGAGAGTGTAACAAAACTGCTCAATCAAAAGAAAGTTCAGCTCCTTGAGATGAATGTACACATCACAAATAAGTTTCTCAGAATGCTTCTGTGTAGTTTTTATATGAAGATATTTGCTTTTCCAGAGTAGGCCTCAAAGCACTCCTAATATCCACTTGCAGATTCTGCAAAAACTGTGTTTCATAACTTCTCAATCAAAAGAAAGTTCAAGTCGGTGAAATGAAAGCACACAACACAAAGACCCTTCTCAGAATGCTTCTGTGTAGTTTTTATGTGAAGATATTTAATTTTAGACAATAAGCCTCAAAGCGCTCCAAATAACCACTTGCAGATTCCAAATAAAGAGCTTTTCAAAACTGCTCAATCCAAAGAGAGGTTCAACTCTGTGAGATGAATGCACATATCCCAAAGAAGTTTCTCAGACTGCTTCTGTGTAGTTTTTTTTTTTTAAGATATTTCCGTTTCCACAATAGGCCACAAAGGAATCCAAATTGCAGAATCTACAAAAAGAGAGATTCAAAACTGCTCGATCAAAAAATAGGTTCAACTCTGTGAGTTGAATGTACACATCACAAAGAATTTTCTGAGAATGTTTCTTTGTAGTTTTTAAGTGAAGATATTTCCTTTTTCAAAACAGGCCTCAAAAGCCCCCAAATATCCACTTGCAGATTCTACAAAAAGATTGTTTCAATACTGCTCAATCATAAGACAGGTTCAACTGTGTGAGATGAAAGAAGACATAACAAAGATTTTTCTCAGAATGCTTCTGTGAAGTTTTTATGTGAAGATATTTGCTTTTCCACAGTAGGCCTCAAAGCCCTCCAAATATCCACTTGAAGATATTACAAAAACAGTGTTTCAAAACTGCTGAATCATAAAATAGGTTCAACTCTGTGAGTTGAATGCACACATAGCAAAGAAGTTCCTCAGAATGCTTCTGGGTAGTTTTAATTTGAACATATTTCCTTTTCCTCCATAGGCCACAAAGGGCTCCAAATGTCCACTTGCAGATCCTGCAAAAAGAGGGAATCAAAACTGCTCAATGAAAAGATAGGTTCACCTCTGTGGGTTTAATGCACATATCACAAAGTCGTTTCTCAGAATGCTTCTGTGTAGTTTTTATATGAAGATATTTCCTTTTTCACAATAGGCTGCATGGGCTCCAAATATACACTTGCATTTTCTACAAAAAGAGTGTTTCAAAACTGCTCAAACATAAGATAGGTTGAACATTGTGAGAGAAAGCACACATCACTAAGAAGTTTCTCAGAATGCTTCTGTGTAGTTTTATATGAAGATATTTCCTTTTCCACCTTAGGCTGCAAAGGGCTCCAAATATCCACTTGCAGATTCTATAAAAAGAGAGATTCAAAACTGATCAATAATAAGATAGGTTCAACCCTGTGAGTCGTATGCACACATCAGAAAGAAGATTCTCAGAAATCTTTTTTGTAGTTTTTATGTGAAGATATTTCCTTTTCCACAATATGCATCAAAGCGCTCCAAATATCCAATTGCAGATTGCACAGAAAGAGTGTTTCAAAACTGCTCAATCAAAAGAAAGTTTAAACTTTGTGAGATGAAGGAACACCTCCCAAAGAAGTTTCTCAGAATGCCTTTGTTTTACTTTAAGATATTTCCTTTTCCTCCATAGCCCGCAAAAGTCTCCAAATATCCCCTGGCAGATTCTGCAAAAAGATTCAAAACTGCTAAATCAAAAGATAGCTTCAACTCCTTGAATTCAATGCACACATCAGAAAGAAGTTTCTCAGAATTCTTTGGTGTAGTTTTTATATGAAGATATTTCGTTTTCCATGATAGGCTGCAAAGGGTTCAAAATACTCACTTGCAGATTCTACAAAAACAGAGATTCAAAACTGCTCAATCAAAACATATGTTCAACTCTGTGTGTTGAATGCACACATTACAGAGAAGTTTCAAAGAATGTTTCTGTGTAGTTTTTATGTGAAGATATATCCTTTTCCACAATAAGCCACAAAGGGCTCCAAATATCCACTTGCAGATTCTACAAAAACGGTGTTTCTTAAAAGCCCAATCATAAGATAGGTTCAACTCTGTGAGATGAATTCACATATCACAAAGAAGTTTCTCAGAATGCTTCTGTGTAGTTTTTATTTGAAGATATTTCCTTTTCCATCATAGGCTGCAAGGGGCTCCAAATATCCACTTGCAGATTCTACAAAAAGAGAGATTTAAAACTGCTCAATCAAAAGATAGTTCAACTCTGTGTGTTAAATGCACACATCACAAAGAAGTTTCTAAGAAAGCTTCTGTGTAGTTTTTATATGAAGATATTTCTTTTTCCACCATAGGCCTAAAAGCACTCCAAATATTCACTTGCAGATTCTACAAAAAGAGTTTTTCAAAACTGCTCAATCAACAGAATGTTCAACCCTGTGAGATTAATGCACACATCAAAAAGAAGTTTCTCAAAATGCCTCTGTGAAGTTTTCATGTGAGGATATTTGCTTTTCCACAGTCGGCCTCAAATCACTCCAAATATCCACTTTCAGATACTACAAAAACCGTGTTTCAAATCGGCTCCATCAAAAGAAAAGTTCAACTCTGTGAAGTGAATGCACACATCACAAAGAAGTTTCTCAGAATATTTCTGTGTAGTTTTTATGTGAAGATATCTTCTTTTCTAAAGTAGGCCTCAAAGCACTCCAAATATCCACTTGCAGATTCAACAAAAACAGTATTTCAAAACTAGTCAATCAAAATAAAGTTTCAACTCTGTGTGGTGAATGCATTCATCACAAAGAAGTTACTCAGAATGCGTCCATGTAATTTTTATGTGAGGTTTATGCTTTTCCACAGTAGGCCTCAAAGCACTCCAAATAACCACTTGCAGATTCTACAAAAGAGTGTTTCAAATCTCCTCAATAAAAAGAAAAATTCAAATCTGTGAGATGATTGCACACATCACAAAGAAGTTTCTCAGAATGGTTGTGTATAGTTTTTATGTGAAGATATTTCCTTTCCGCAGAAGGTCTCAGAGCTCTCCAAATATCCATTTGCAGATACTACAAAAACAATGTTTCAAAACTGCTCATTCGAAAGAAATTTTCAACACTTTGAGATGAATGCACACATCAAAAAAGAGTTTCTCAAAATGCTTCTGTGTAGTTTTTATTGGAAGAAATTTCCTTTTCCACCATAGGCCAGAAGGGGCTCCAAATACCCACTTGCAGATTCTACAAAAAGAGAGATTCAAAACTGCCGAATCAAAAGATAAGTTCAACTCGGTGAGTTTAATGCACACATCACAAAGAGGTTTCTCTGAATCCTTCTGTGTAGTTTTTATATGAATATATTTTCTTTTCCACTGTAGGCCTCAAAGCGCTCCAAATATCCACTGGTGGATTCTACAAAAAGATAGATTCAAAGCTGCTCAATCAAAAGAATGGTTCAACTCTGTGGTAAGATAGATTCTACTCTGTGAGAGGAAAGCACAATTTACAAAGAAGTTTCTCAGAATGCTTCTGGGTAGTTTATATTTAAAGATAACTCCTTTTCCTAAAGAGCTCAAAATATCCAATTGCAGATTCTACAAAAAGAGAGACTCAAATCTGCTCAGTCAAAAGAAAGGTTCAACTTTGTGAGATGAATGCACTCATCACGAAGAAGTTTCTCAGAATGCCTCTGTGTGGTTTTTTTCTGAAGATATTTGCTTTTCCACAGTAAGCCACAGAGCACTCCAAGTATCCACTAGCAGA
>NT_187424.1:84349-92983 GCF_000001405.40 Homo sapiens | reverse complement strand
CTCCACTCCACTCCATTCCATTCCATTGCACTGCACTCCGATCCACTCCACTCAACTCCACTCCACTCCATTCCATTCTACTCCATTGCATTCCACCTCACTCCAATCCACTCCATTCCACTCCTCTCCACTCCACTCCATGCCCTTCCATTCCATTCCAATCCATTCTACACCACTCCACTCCACTCCATTCCACTCCACTCCCTTCCATTCCACTCCACTCCTTTCCACTCCGTTCCACTCCATTCCATTCCACTCCACTCAATTCCATTCCATGCCATTCCATTCCATTCCATTCCACTCCACTCCACTCCCCTCCAGTCCACTCCATTCCACTCTACTCCATTCCATTCCATTCTATTCCGTTCCATTCCATTCCATTCCATTCCACTCCACTCCGACCCTCTCCACTCAACTCCACTCCACTGTACTTCTTTCTGTTCCATTCTGCTGCATTCCATTCCTTTCCCTTTCATTCCATTCCATTCCATTCCATTCCATTCCATTCCATTCCATTCCATTCCATTCCACTCCACTCCATTCAATTCCACTCCATTCCTCTCCACTCCACTCCAATCCACTCCACTCCATTCCATTCCACTGCATTCCAATCCACTCTACTCAACTCCACTGCACTCCACTCCATTCCACTACATTCCACTCTTCTCCACTCCACTCCATTCCATTCCACTACATTCCATTCCATTCCACTCCATTCCATTCAATTCCATTCCATACCATTCCACTACTTTCAACTCCACTCCACTCCACTCCAATCCACTCCACTTCACTCCACTCCAATCCATTCCACTCCACTCCATTCTATTCCACTCCATTCCATTCCACTCCACTCCATTCCACTCCACTCCACTCCATTCCATTCCACTCCACTCCTTTCCATTCCACTCCATTCCACTCCACTCCACTCCCCTCCATTCCATTCCATTCCTTTCAAATCCACTCCATTCCATTCCACTCCACTCCACTCCAGTCCAATACACATCACTCCACTCCACTCCATTCCATTCCATTCCACTTCATTCCATTCCATTCCATTCCATTCCATTCCATTCCATTCCACTTCACTCCATTCCATTCCATTCCACTGTACTCCAATCTTCACGTGAAAACTAGACAGAAACATTCTGAGAAACTTTTTTGTGATGTGTTCATTCATTTCACAGAGTCGATCCATTCTATTGATTGAGGAGTTTGGTCACAGTCTTTTTGTAGAATCTGCAAAAGGACATTTGTGAGCGCTTTGAAGCCTATGGTGAAAAAGCAAATATCTTCACAGAAAAACTAGAAAAAAGGTTTCTGAGAAACTGTTTTTTGATGTGTGAATTCATCTCACAGAATTGAACCTTTCTATTGATTGAGTGTATTGGAAACCGTCTTTTTGTAGAATTTGCAAAGGATTATTTGTGAACACTTGTGGGCCAATGGTGGAAAAGGAAATATCTTCACAAGAAAACTAGACAGAAGCTTTCTGGGACACTTCTGTGTTATGTGTGCACTCATCTGAATCAGTTGAGCCATTCTTTTGATTGAGCAGTTTGGAAACAGTCTTTTTGTAGAATCAACAAAGGATATTTGTGAGCGCTTTGAGGCCTATGGGGAAAAAGTAAATATCTTCACATAAAAACTAGACAGAAGGTTTCTGAGAAACTGCTTTGTAATGTATGCATTCATCTCACAGAGGTAAACATTTCTTTTCATTGAGCAGATGGGAAAATCTTTTCTTGTAGAATCTGCAAAGGGATATTTGTGAGTGCTTTGAGGCCTATGGTGAAAAAGGAAATATCTTCATATAAAATGTAGACAGAAACTTTCTGAAAACTTATTTGTGATGTGTGCATTCATCTCATAGAGTTGAACCATTCTTATTTTTTTTGGAGCTCTCTGTTTAATTATTTATTTACTTTTATTATTATTATACTTTATGTTTTAGGGAACATGTGTACAACGTGTAGGTTTGTTACATATGTATACATTTGCCATGTTTGTATGCATTAGGTATATCTCCTAAGTCTATCCCTCCCCCTCCCCACACCGGACTACACTCTCTGGTTTGTGGTGTGTGATGGTTCTCTTTCTGTGTCCATGTGTTCTTTGATCAATTCCCAACTATGAGTGAGATCATGTGGTGTTTTATTTTTTGTCCTTGTGATAGTTCGCTGAGAATGATGGTTTCCAGCTTCATCCATGTCCCTACAAAGGACATGAAGTCATCATTTTTTATGGCCGCATAGTGTTCCATGATGTATATGTGCCACATTTTCTTCATTCAGTCTATCGTTGTTGGACATTTACATTGGTTCCAAGTCTTTGCTATTGTGAATAGTGCCACTATAAACATACGTGTGTATGTGTCTTTATAGCAGCATGATTTATAATCCTTTGGGTATATACCCAGTAATGGGATGGCTAGGTCAAATGGTATTTCTAGTTCTAGATCCCTGAGGAATCACCATACCGACTTCCACAATGGTTGAACTAGTTTACACTGCAACCGACAGCACAAAAGTGTTCCTATTTCTCACATCCTCTCCAGCACCTGTTGTTTCCTGACTTTTTAATGATCGCCATTCTAACTGGTGTGAGATGGTATCTCATTGTGGTTTTGACTTGCATTTCTCTGATGGCCAGTGAAGATAAGCATTTTTTCATTTGTTCATTGGCTGCATAAATGTCTTCTTTTGAGAAATGTCTGTTCATATACTTCACCCACTTTTTGATGGGGTTGTTTGTTTTTTTCCTGTAAATTAGTCTGAGTTCATTGTAGATTCCTGATATTAGCCCTTTGTCAGATGAGTAGGTTGCAAAAGTATTCTCCCATTCTGTAGGATTCCTGTTCACTCTGATGGTGGTTTCTTTTGCTGTGCAGAAGCTCCTTAGTTTAATTAGATCCCATTTGTCAATTGTGGCTTTTGTTGCCATTGCTTTAGGTGTTTTAGACATGAAGTCCTTGCCCATGCCTATGTCCTGAATGGTTTTGCCTAGGTTTTCTTCCAGAGATTTTATGTGTAGCATTCTTCTGATTAATCAGTTTGGGTATTCTGTTCTTGTAGAATCTGCAAGGAGATATTTGTGAGCGCTTTGAGGCCTTTGGTGAAAAAGGAAATACCTTCACATAATAAATAGACAGAAGTTCTCTGAGAAACCTCTCTGTCATGTGTACATTCATCTCACATAGTTGAAACAGTCTTTTGACTGAGCAGTTTGAAAACTGTCCATTTGTAGAATCTGCAAAGGGATAATTGTGAGCCCTTTGAGGCCTATGTTGAGAAAGAAAATATCTTCACATAAAAACTAGACAGAAGATTTCTGAGAAACCTCTTTGTGGTGTGTGCATTCATCTCACAGAGTTGAACCATTCTTTTGATTGAGCAGTTTGTAAACAGACTTTTTGTAGAATCTTCAAAGGGATATTTGTCAGCTTTATGAGGCCTATGGTGAAAAAGGAAATATCTTCAATAAAAACTATAAAGAATGTTTCTGAGAAGCTGTTTTGCAAGGTGTGCACTCATCTCAGAGACAAAAAATTTTCTATTCTTTGATGAGTCTGGAAACTCTGTTCTTGTAAAATATGCAAAGGGATATTTGTGAGTGGCTTGAGGCCTATGGTGAAAAAGGAAATATCTTCACATAAAAACTACACAGAAGGTTTCAGAGAAACTTCTTTGTGATACGTGCATTCATCTCACAGAGTTGAACCATTCTTTTGATTGAGAAGTTTGGAAACAGTCTTTTCAGAGAATTTGCAAAGGGACATTTTGAGCGCTTTGATAGGTATGGTGAAAAGGGAAATATCTTCACATAAAAAGTGGACAGAAGCTTTCAGAGAAACTTATTTGCGATGTGTGCATTCATCTCACAGAGTTGAACTTTTCTTTTTATTTAGCAGTTTGGAAAGAGTCCTTTTCTAGAATCTGCAGAGGGATATTTGTGAGCCCTTTATGGCTTAAGGTGAAATAGGAAATATCTTCACATAAAAACTAGACAGAGGCATTCTGAGAAACTTCTTCATGAAGTGTGCTTTCATCACACAGAGTTGAACCTCTCTTTTGATTGAGGAGTTTGGAAACGGCCTTTTTGTAGAATATGGAAATGGATATTTGGAGCACTTTGAGGCCTATGGTGAAAAAAGAAATATCTTCACCTGAAAACTAGACAGAAGCATTCTGAGAAACTTCTTTGTGATGTATGCACTCATCTCACAGAGTTTAACCTTTCTTCTGATTGAGCAGTTTCAAAACAGTCCTTTTGTAGAATCTGCAAAGGGATATTTGTGAGCCCTTTGAGGCCTATGGTGAAATAGGAAATATCTTCACATAAAAACTAGTCAGAAGATTTCGGAGAAACTTCTTTGTGATGTGTGCTTTCATCTCACAGAGTAGAACCTTTCTTTTGATGGAGCAGTTTGGAAACACACTTTCTCTAGAATCTGCAAATGGATATTTGGAGCAGTTTGAGTACTATGGTGAAAAAGGAAATATCTTCACATAAAAACTAGAAAGCAACATTCTATGAATCTACTTTGTTACGTGTGCTTTCATCTCACAGAGTTGAACCTTCCTATTCATTGAGCAGTTTGGAAACCATCTTTTTGTAGAATCTGCAAATGGATATTTGGAGCGGTGTGAGGCCTTCTTGAGAAAGGAAACATCTTCACATAAAAACTAGACAGAAGCATTCTGAGAAACTTCTTGGTGATGTGTGCATTTATCACACAGAGTTGAACCCTTCTTTATATTAAACAGTTTGGAAACTGTCTTTTTGTAGTATCTGTAGAGGGATGTTTGCGCGAATTTGAGGCCTATGGTGAACAAGGAAATATATTCACATAAAAACTAGACAGAAGCTTTCTGAGAAACTTCTTTGTGATGTGTGAATTCATCTGACAGTGTTGAACCTTTCTTTGGATTGAGCAGTTTGGAAACAATCCTTTTGTAGAATCTTCAAAGGTATATTTCTGAGCCCATTGAGGTCTATGGTGAAATATGATATATTTTCCCATAAAAACTAGACAGAAGATTTCTAAGAAACTTCTTTGTGATGTGTGCTTCCATCTCACAGAGTTGAACTTTTCTTTTGGTTGATCAGTTTGGAAACACTCTTTTTGTAGAATCTGCAAATGGATATTTGGAGCGCTTTGAGGCTTGTGGTAAAAAAGGAAATATCATCACATAAAAATTCGACAGAAGAATTCTGAGAAACTTCTTTTTGAAGCTTGCAGTCTTCTCACACAGCTGAACATTTCTTTGATTGAATATTTGGAAACAGTCTTTTTGTAAAATCTACAAAGGGATAATTGTGAACCCTTTGAGGCCTATGGTGAACTAGGAAATATCTTCACATAAAAACTACACAGAAACTTTCTGAGAAACATTTTGTGATCTGTGCATTCATCTCACAGATTTGAACCTTTCCTTTGCTAGAGCAGTTTGGAAACATTCCTATTGTAGAATCACCAAAGGGGTATTTCTCAGCCGATTGAGGCCTTTGGTGATATAGGAAATATCTTCCCATAAAAGCTAGACAGAAACTTTCTGAGAAACTTATTTTTAATGAGTGCTTTCATCTCAAAGAGTTAAGCATTTCTTTTGACTGAGCAGTTTGGAAACACTCTTTTTGCATAATCTGCAAATGGATAATTGGAGAGTTTTGAGGCCTATGGTGGAAAAGCAAATATCTTCACATAAAAACTAAACAGAAGCGTTCTGAGAAACTACTTTGTAATGCGTGCATTCATCTCACAACGTTGAAACCCTGTTTTGATTGAGCAGTTTGTAAACAGTCTTTTTGTAGAATCTGCAAATGGATATTTGGAGTGCTTTGAGGCCAATGGTGAAAAAGGAAATATCTTCACAAAAAAACTAGAAAGAAACATTCTGAGAAACTTCTTTGTGATATGTGCTTTCATCTCACAGAGTTGAACCTTTCTTTTCATTGAGCAGTTTTGAAACAGACTTTTTATAGAATCTGGAAATGCTTATTTGGAGAGCTTTGAGGCCTATGGTGAAAAAGGAAATATCTTCAGATAAACACTAAACAGAAGCTTTCTGAGAAACTTCTTTGTGATGCCTGCATTCATATCACAGAGCTGAAATTTTCTTTTGATTTAGCAGTTTGTAAACAGTCTTTTGGTAGAATCTGCAAATGGATAGTTGGAGTGCTTTGAGGCCTATGGTGAAAAAGAAAATATCTTCACAAAAAAACTAGAAAGATACATTCTGAGAAACTTCTTTGTGATGTGTGCTTTCACCTCACAGAGTTGAAACTCTCTTTTCATTGAGCAATTTGGAAACAGTCTTTTTGTGGAATCTGCAAATGGATATTTGGAGTGCTTTGAGGCCTATGGTGAAAAAGGAAATATCTCACATAAACCCTAGACAGAAGTATTCTGAGAAACTTCTTTGTCTTGTGTCCATTCATCTCACAGAGTTGAACCTTTCTTTGGATTGAGAAGTTTGGAAACAGTCTTTTTGTAGAATCTGCGAAAAATATTTTTGAGCCCTTTATGGCCCATGGTGAAACAGGAAATGTCCTCACAGAAAAACTAGACAGAATCCTTCTCAGAAACTTCTTTGTGATGTGTGCTTTCAACACACGGAGTTGTAGCTTTCTTTTGATTGAGCAGTTTGGAAACAGTCTTTTTGCGGAATCAGCAAATGGATGTTTGGAGCGCTTTGAGGCCTTTGGTGAAAAAGTAAATACCTTCACATAAAAAATAGACAGAAGCATTGTAAGAAACATCTCTGTGATGTGTGCATTCATCTCATACAGTTGAATCCTTCTTCGATTGAGGAGTTTGGAAACAGTCTTTCTGTGGAATCAGCAAATGGATATTTTGAGCACTTTGAGGCCCATGCTGAAAAAGGAAATACCTTCACATAAAAAAATATACAGAAGGATTGAGAGAAACATCCATGTGATGTGTACATTCATCTTATAGAGTTGAACCTTTCTTTGATTGAGAAGTTTGGAAACAGTCCTTTCGTAGAATCTGCAAAGGGATATTTCTGAGCCCATTGAAGCCTAGGGTGAAAAAGAAATATCTTCACATAAAAACTAGATAGAAGCATTCTGATAAACTTTTTTGTGGTGTGCCCATTCATCTCAAAGTGTTGAAACTTTCTTTGGATTGAGCAGTTTGGAAACAGTCTTTTTGTAGAATTTGCAAAAAATATTTGTGAGCCCTATATGGCCCATGGTAAAATAGGAAATATCTTCACATATAAACTAGACAGAAGCTTTCCGAGAAACTTCTTTGTGATGTTTACTTCCGTGTCACAGGATTGAACCTTTCTTTTTGATAGAGCAGATTGGAAACACTCTTTTTGTAGAATCTACAAATGGGTATTTGGAGCGCTTTGAGGCCTATGGTGAAAAAAGAAATATCTTCACATAAAAACTAGACAGATGCATTCTGCAAAACCTCTTTGTGATGTGTGCATTCATCTCACAGGGTTGAATAATTCTTTGGATTCAGCAGTTTTCTAAACAGTCCTTTTGTAGAATCTGCAAAGAGATATTTATGAGCCCACTGAGTCCTATGGTGAAAAAGGAAATATCTTCAAATAAAAGCAAAACAGAAGTGTTCTGAGAACCTTCTTTTTGATGTGTGCATTCGTCTATCAGCATTGAAACTTTCTTTTGATTGAGCAGGTTGGAAACAGTCTTTTTGTAAGATCTGCAAAGGGATATTTCTGAGCCGTTTGTGGCTGATGGTGAAAAAGAAATATCTTCACATAAAAACTAGACAGAAGCATTCTGAGAAATCTCTTTCTGATGTGTGCATTCATCTCACAGAGTTGAATCTTTCTTTTGTGTGAACAGTTTGGAAACAGTCTTTTTTTTTGAATATGCAAACGGATATTTGTGAGCCCTTTGCAGCCTAAGGTGAAATAGGAAATTCCTTCACATAAAAACTAGACAGAATCTTTCTGAGAAAATGCTTTGTGATGTGTGCTTTAATCTCACAGAGGTGAAATTTTCTTTTGATTGAGCAGTTTGGAAACAGCCTTTTTGTAGAATCTGCAAATGGATATTTGCAGTGCTTTTAGGCCTATGGAGAAAAAGGAAATATCTTCACAAAAACACTAAAAAGAAGCTTTCTGAGAAACTTATTTGTGATGCGTGGACTCATATCACAGAGCTGATCCTTTCTTTTGATTGAGCAGATTGGAAACCATCCTTTTGTACAATCTGCAAAGAGATATTTTTGAGCCGTTTGATGCCTATGGTGAAAAAGAATTATCTTCACATAAAAAGTAGATAGAATCATTCTGAGAAACTCCTTTGTGATGTGTGCATTCACCTCACAGATTTGAACCTTTCTTTTCTTGGAGCAGTTTGGAAACAGTCTTTTTGTAGTATCTGCAGAGGGATATTTGTGAGCAGTTTAAGGCCTATGGTGAAAAAGGAAATATCTTCACATTAAACTAGACAGAAGCATTCTGAGAAACGTATATTTTATGTGTGCATTCATCTCACAGAGATGAATCTTTCTTTTCATTGAGCAGTTTGGAAAGAATTTTTTATACAAAGTGCAAAGGGATATTTCTGAGTGCTTTGAGGCCTATAGTGAAACAATAATATCTTCACATATAAACTAGACAGAAGCATTCT
>NT_187424.1:57142-84329 GCF_000001405.40 Homo sapiens | reverse complement strand
GTCTTTTTGTGGAATTTGCAAATGGATGTTTTGTGTGTTTTGAGGCCTATGGTGAAAAAGTAAATATCTTCACATTAAAACTAGACAGAAGCATTCTGTGAAACTTCTTTGTGACGTATACATTCATCTCACGTTGTTGAGCCTATCTTTTGATTGAGCAGATTGGAAACAGTCTTTTTGTTGTATCTGCAGAGGGATATTTGTGAGTGGTTTGAGGTCTATGGTGAAAAAGGGAATACCTTCACATAAAAGCTAGACAGAAGCATTATGGGAAACTTCTCTGTGATGTGTGCATTCAACTCACTGAGGTGAAACTTTCTTTAGATTGAGCAGTTTGGAAACTATACTTTTTTAGAATCTGCAAAGGGATATTTCTGAGCCCATTGAGGCCTAGGGTGAAAAAGAAATATCTTCACATAAAAACTGGACAGATGCATTCTGAGAAACTTCTTTGTGATGTGTCCATTCATCTCACAGAGTTGAACCTTTCTTTGGATTGAGCAGTTTGGACAGTCTTTTTGTAGAATCTGTAAAAAATATTTGTGATCCCTTTACAGCCTATGTTGAAAAAGGAAATATCTTCACATAAAAACTAGACAGGAGCTTTCTGAGAAACTACTTTGTGATGTGTGCTTTCTTCTCACATAGTTGAACCTATCTTTTGAATGAGCAGTTTGGAAATGCTCTTTTTGTAGAGTCTGTAAATGGATATTTGGAGCATTTTGAGGCCTATGGTAAGAAAGGAAATATCTTCACATAAAAGCCAGACAGAAGCATTCTGAGAAACTTCTTCATGATGTGTGTATTCATCTCACAGAGTTGAATATTTCTTTGGATGCAGCAGTTTGGAAACAGTCTTTTTGTAGTATCTGCAGAGGGATATTCATGAGCAGTTTGAGGCCTATGGTTAAAAAGGATATATCTTCACAGAAAACCTCGACAGATCCATTCTGAGAAACTTCTTTGAGATGTGTGCATTCATCTCACAGAGTTGAACCTTTCTTTGGATTGAGCAGTTTTCTAAACAGACCTTTTGCAGAATCTACAAAGGGATACTTCTGAGCCCATTGAGGCTTATGGTGAAAAAGGAAATATCTTCACATGAAATCTTAACAGAAGTTTTCTGAGAAACTTCTTTGTGATGTGTGCATTCACCTCACAGTGTTGAAACTTTCTTTTGATTGAGCAGTTTGGAAACAGTCTTTTTGTACAATCTGCAAAGGGATATTTCTGAGCCATTTGAGGCCCATCGAGAGAGAAATATCTTCATATAAAAACTAGACAAAAGCATTCTGAGAAACTTCTTTGTAATGTGTGCATTCATCACACATAGTTGAAATTTTCCTCTGATTGAGCAGTTTGGAGACAGTATTTTTGTATAATATGCAAAAGGATATTTGTGAGCCCTTTCAGGACTATGGTGAAATAGGGAATATCTTCACAAAAAAACTAGACAGAAGCTTTCTGAGAAACTTCTTTGTGATGCGTGCTTTCATCTAACAGAGTTGAACTTTTCTTTTGATTGGGCAGTTTGGAAACAGTCTTTTTGTAGAATCTGAAGATGGATATTTGCAGCGTTTCAGGCCTATGGTGAACAGGAAATTTCTTCACATAAAAACTAGAGAGAAGCATTCTGAGAAACTTCTTTGTGATGTGTGCATTCATGTCACAGAGTTGAAACTTTCCTTGGATTGAGCAGTTTGGAAAGAGTCCTTTTGTAGAATCTGCAAAGGGATATTTGTGAGCACATAGGGGGCCTATGGTGAAATAGGAAATGTCTTCATATAAAAACTAGACAGAAGTTTTCTGTAAAACTTCTTTGTGTTGTGTGCTTTCACCTCACAGAGTTGAACATCTCTTTTGATTGAGCAGTTTGGAAACACTCTTTTTGTAGGACTTGCAAACGGATATTTGGAGTGCTTTGAGGCCTATGGTGAAAAAGAAAATATCTGTATATAAAAACTAGACAGAAACTTTCTGAGAAACTTCCTTGTGATGTGTACTTTCATCTCACAGATTTGGACCCTGCTTTTCATTGAGCAGTTTGGCAACAATTCATTTTGTAGAATCTGCAAAGGGATATTTGTGAGTGGTTTGAGGCCTATGGTGAAAAAGTAAATATCTTCACCTAAAACCTAGACAGAAGCATTTTGAGAAAACTCTTTGTGATGTTTGCATTCATCTCACTGAGTTGAACCTTTCTGTTCATTGAGCAGTGTGGAAACATACTTTTTGTGCAATCTGTAAAGGAATATTGGTTTGCAGTTTGAGACCTATGTTGAAAAAGTAATATCTTCACATAAAAACAGACAGAAGCCTTCTGAGAAACTAATTTTTTATGTGTGCATTGATCTCACAGAGTTGAACCTTTCTTTTGATGAAGCAGTTCGGAAACAGTTTTTTGTAAAATCAGAATAGGGATATTTGTGATCCCTTTGAGGCCAAAGGTGAAAAAGGAAATATCTTCACATAAAAATGAGATAGAAACTTTCTGAGAAACTTCTTTGTGTCGTGGGCTTTCATCTCACAGATGTGAACCTTTATTTTGATTGAGCAGTTTGGAAAGAGTCTTTTTGTAGAATCTGCGAATGTATATTTGGAGCGTTTTAAGGCCTAGAGTGAAAAAGGAAATATCTTCACATAAAAACAACACAGTAGCTTTTTGAGAAATCTCTTTGTGACATTTTAATTCATCTCTAAGAGTTGACCATTTATTTTCATTGAGCAGTTTGGAAACAGTCTTTTTGTACAAAATGCAAAGGGATACTTCTGAGCAGTTTGAGGTCAATGGTGAAAAATAAATATCTTCACATGAAACCTAGACAGAAGCATTTTGAGAAACTTCTTTGTGATGTGTGCATTCTTCTCACAGAGTTGAACCTTTCTTTGGATTTAGCAATTTGGAGAAAGTCTCTTGGTAGTACAAGTGGAGTTATATTTGTGAGCGATTTAAGGCCTATGGTGCAAAAGGAAACACCTTCACATAAAAAGTAGACAGAAGCTTTCTGAGAAACTTTGTAATGTGTGTTTTTGTCTCACAGATTTGAGCCTTTCTTTTGATTGACCAGTTTGGAAACATTCTTTTTGTAGAATCTGCAAATGGATATTTGGAACAATTTGAGACCTATGGTGAAAAAGGAAATATCTTCACATAAAAACTAGACAGAAGCTTTCTGAGAAACTTCTTTGTGATGTGTGCATTCATCACACAGTGTTGAAACTTTATTTTGTTTGAGCAGTTTAGAAACAGTCTTTTACTGCAATCTGCAAAGGTATATTTCTGAGCCATTTGAGGTCTATGGTGAAAAAGAAATATCTTCACATTGAAACTAGACAGAAGCATTCTGAGGAACTTCTTTGTGAGGTCTCCATTCATCTGAAAGAGTTGAAAGTTTCTTTTAATTCAGCACTTTGGAAACCATATTTTTGTAGAATCTGCAAAGGGATATTTTTGAGACATTTGAAGCCTATAGTGAAATAGTAAATATCTTCACATAAAAACTAGACAGGAGAATTCTGAGAAACTTCATTCTGATGTGTGCATTCACCTCACAGAATTTAAGCTTTCTTTTGATTGAGCAGTATGGAAATGGTCGTCTTTTAGAATCTGGAAAGGGATATTTCTTAGCCCTTTGAGGCCTATGGTGAAACTGGAAATATCTTCACATGAAAACTAGACCAAAGCTTTTTGAGAAATTTCTTTGAGATGTGTGCTTTCATCTCACAGAGTTAAAACTTTCTTTTGATTGAGCAGTTTAGAAACACTCTTTTTGTGAAATCTGTAAATGGATATTAGGAGCACTTTGAGGCCAATGGTGACAAAGGATATATCTTCATGTAAAAACTAAACAGAAATTTTCTGAGAAACTACTTTTTGATGTGTCCATTCATCTCACAGAGTTGAACCTTTCTTTTGATTGAGCAGGTTGGAAAGAGGCTTATTGTACAATCTGCAAAGGAATAATTCTGATCCGTTTGAGGCCTATGGTGAAAGAGAAATATATTCACATAAAAACTAGACAGAATCATTCCGAGAAATTTCTTTGTGATGTGTCCATTCATCTCACAGAGTTGAACCTTTCTTTTGATTGAGCAGTTTGGAAACAGTCTTTTTGTAAAACCTTCAAAGGGATATTTGTGAGCCCTTTATGGCCTCAGGTGAAATAGGAAGTATCTTCACATACATACTAGAGAGAAGCTGTCTGAGTAACATTTTTGTGATGTGTGCTTTCATCTCAGAGAGGTAAAAATTTGTTTTGATTGAACAGTTTTGAAACAGCCTTTTTGTAGAATCTGCAAATGGATGTTTGGATTGCTTTGAGGCCTATGTTGAGAAAGGTAATATCTTCACATAAAAACAAGACAGCAGATTTCTGAGAAACTCCTCTTTTATGTGTGCATTCATCTCACCGGTTTGAACCTTTCTTTTGATTGAGCAGTTTGGAAACAGTCTTTTTGTACAATCTGCAAAGGGATATTTCTGAGTCATTTGAGGCCCTTCAAGAGAGAAATATCTTCATATAAAAACTAGACAGAAGCATTATGATAAACTAATTTATTATGTGTGCATTCGTCTCACAGAGATGAACCTTTCTTTTTATTTAGCAGTTCAAAAACCTTTTGTAGAGTCTGCAAAGGGATATTTGTGAGAACTTTGAGGCCTATGGTGATATAGGAAATATCTTCACAAAAAAAGTAGACAGAAGCATTATGAGAAACTTCTTCATGATGTGTGCTTTCTTCTCACAGATTTGAATCTTTCTTTTAATTGAACAGTTTGGAAACTCTCTTTTTGTAGAGTTTGCAAAAGGATATTTGGATTGCTTTGAGGCCTATGGTGAAAAAGGAAATATTTTCACTTAAAAACTAAACAGAAGCTTTCTGAAAAACTTCTCTGTGATGTGAGTATTCATGTCACAGTGTTGAACCTTTGTTTTCATTGAGCAGTTTGGAAACCATCTTTTTGTACAATCTGCAAAGGGATGTTTCTGAGCAGTTTGAGGCCTACGGTGAAAAACAAATATCTTAACACAAAAACTAGACAGAGGCATTCTGAGAAACTTCTTATTCATGTGTGCATTCATCTCCCAGAGTGAACCTTTCTTTTCATTGAGAAATTCAGAAACAGTCTTTTGTAGAATTTGGAAAAGGATATATGTGATCCCACTGAGGCCCATGTGAAATGGGAAATATCTTCACAGGAAAACCAGACAGAAGCATTCTGAGAAACTTCTTTGTGATGTTTGCATTCATCTCACAGAGTTGAAACTTTCTTTTGATTGAGCAGTTTAGAAAACTTCTTTCTGAAGTATCTGCAAAAGGATATTTGGAGCACTTTGTGGCTTGTGGTGAAAAACTAAATATCTTCACATAAAATCTAGTGAGAAGCTTTCTGAAGAACTTCTTTGTGATGTGTGCTTTCATCTCACAGAGTTGAAAATTTCTTTTGATTGAGCAGTTTGGAAACAGTGTTTTGTAGAATCTGCAAATCGATAATTGGATTGCTTTGAGGCCTATCGTTAGAAGGGAAATATCTTCACATAAATACTAGACAGAAGATTTCTGAGAAACTTCTTTGTGATGTGTGGTTTCATCTCACAGAGTTGAACTGTTCTTTTGATTGAGCAGTTAGGAAACTGTCTTTATCTACAATCTGCAAAGGGATATTTCTGAGGGGTTTGAGGCCTATGGTGAAAAAGAAATATCTTCACATAAAAACCAGACAGAAGCATTATGAGGAACTTCTTTGTGATGTGTGCTTTCATCTAACAGATTTGAAACTTTCTTTTGATTGAACACTTTGGAAACAGTCTTTTTGTACAGTCTACAAAGGGATATTTCTGAACGGTTTGGTGCCTATGGTGAAAAAGGAATATCTTCACTTAAAAACTAGACAGAAGAATTGTGAGAAACTTCTTTTTTATGTGTGCAGTTGTCTCACAGAGTTGAACCTTTCTTTACATGGAGCAGTTTGAAAACAATCTTTTTGTAGAGTCTGCAATGGAATATTTGTGAGCTCGTTGAGGCCTATGGTGAAATATGAAATATCTTCACATAAAAACCAGACAGAAGCATTATGAGGAACTTCTTTGTGATGTGTGGTTTCATCTCACAGAGATGAAGGTTTCCTTTGATTGAACAGTTTTCAAGCAGCCTTTTTGTTGTATCTGCAGAGGGATATTTGGGAGCTGTTTAAGGCCTATGGTGAAAAAGGAAATATCTTCACATCAAAAGTAGACAGAAGCATTCTGAGAAACTTATTTATGATGTGTGCATTCATCTCACAGAGTTGAACGTTTTTTTGTGATTGAGCCGTTTGGAAACAGTCTTTTTGTGGAATCTGCAAATGGATATTTGGAGCACTTTGAGGCCTATTGTGAAGAAGGAATTATCTTCACATAAAAACTAGACAGATACATTCTGATAAACTTCTTTGTGATGTTTGCATTCATCTCACAGAGTTGAACCTTTCTTTGCATTTGACAGTTTGGAAACAGTCTTTTTGTACAATATGCAAAGGGATATTTCTGAACCATTTGAGGCCTATGGTGAAAAATAAATATGTCAGATAAAAACTAGACAGAAGCATTCTGAGAAACTTCTTTTTCATGTGTGCATTTATCTCACAGAGTTGAACCTTTCTTTTCATGTAGCTGTTTGGAAATAGTCTTTTTGTAGAATCTGCAAATGGATATTTGGAGCATTTTGAGGCCTGTTGTGAAAAAGGAAATATCTTCATGCAAAAACTAGACAGAAGCATTCTGAGAAACTTCTTTGTGATGTGTACATTCATTTCACAGAGATGAAGGTTTCCTTTGATTGAACAGTTTTCAAGCAGTCCTTTTGTAGTATCTGCAGAGGGATATTTGGGAGCCGTTTAAAGCCTATGGTGAAAAAGGAAATATCTTCACATAAAAACTAGACAGAAGGATACTGAGAAACTTCTTTATGATGTGTGCATTCATCTCACAGAGTTGAACCTGTCTTTTCATTGAGCAATTTGGAAACAGTCTTTTTGTGCAATCTTCAAAGGGATGTTTCTTAGCCATTTGAGGCCTACGGTGAAAAAGACATACCTTCACATAAAAACTAGGCAGAAGCCTTCTGAGAAACTTCTTTGTGATGTGTCCATTCATCTCACATAGTTGAACCTTTGTTTTTGATTGAGCTGTTTGGAAACTGTCTTTTTGTAGAGTCCGCAAAGGGATATTTGTGAGACCTTTATGGCCTATGGTGAAACAGGAAATATCTTCACATAAAAACTAGACAAACAGTCTGAGAAACTTATTTGTGATGTGTGCTTTCATCTCACAGAGTTGAAACTTTCTTTTGATTGAGCAGTTTGGAAAGAGGCCTTTAGAAGTATCTGAAAAGAGATATTTTTGAGCCCATTGAGGCCTATGCTGAAAGAGGAAATATCTTCACATATAAGATAAACAAAAACTTTCTGAGAAAATTCTTTGTGATATGTGCTTTCATCTCACAGAGTAGAATTTTTCTTTTCATTGAGCAGTTTGGAAACAGTCTTTTTGTAACAGCTGCATAGGGATATTTCTGAGTGGTTTCAGGCCTATGGTGACAAAGAAATATCTTCACATAAAAACTAGACAGAAGCATTCTGAGAAACTTCTTTTTTAGGTGTGAATTCATCTCACAGAGTTGAAACTTACTTTTCATTGAGCAGTTCTGTAACAGTCTTTTTGTAGAATCTGCAAAAGGATATTTGTGAGCCCTTTGAGGCCTATGGTGTAACAGGAAATACCTTCACTTAAAAACTAGACAGAAGCATTCTGAGTAACTTCTTTGTGATTTGTGCTTTCATCTCACAGAGTTGAACCTTTCTTTTGATTGAGCAGTTTGCAAAAACTCTTTTTGTACAATCTGCAAAAGATATTTGGTGCACTTTGTAGACTATGGTGAAAAAGGAAATATCTTCACATAAAAACTGGAAAGAAATTTTCTGAGAAACTTCTTTGTGCTGTGCACTTTCTTTTTATTTTATTTTATTTTATTCTTATTATACTTTAAGCTTTAGGGTACATCTGTACAATGTGCAAGTTAGTTACATATGTATACATGTGCCAAGCTGGTGTCATGTACCCATTAACTCATCATTTAGCATTAGGTATATCTCCTAATGCTATCCCTCCCCCCTCCCCCCACCCCACAACAGTCCCCAGAGTGTGATGTTCCCCTTCCTGTGTCCATGTGTTCTCACTGTTCAAATCTCACCTATGAGTGAGAACATGTGGTGTTTGATTTTTTGTCCTTGTGATAGTTTACTGAGAATGATGATTTCCAATTTCATCCATGTCCCTACAAAGGACATGAACTCATCATTTTTATGGTTCCATAGTATTCCATAGTGTATATGTGCCACATTTTCTTAATCCAGTCTATCATTGTTGGACATTTGGGTTGGTTCCAAATCTTTGCTATTGTGAATAGTGCCACAATAAACATACATGTGCATGTGTTTTTACAGCAGCATGAAACCAACGAGAACAAAGACACAACATACCAGAATCTCTGGGACACATTCAAAGCAGTGTTTAGAGGGAAATTGATAGCACTAAATGCCCACAAGAGAAAGCAGGAAAGATCCAAAATTGACACCCTAACATCACAATTAAAGAACTAGAAAAGCAAGAGCAAACACATTCAAAAACTAGCAGAAGGCAAGAAATAACTAAAATCAGAGCAGAACTGAAGGAAATAGAGACACAAAAAACCCTTCAAAAAATTAATGAATCCAGGAGCTGGTTTTTTGAAAGGATCAACAAAATTGATAGACCACTAGCAAGACTAACAAAGAAGAAAAAAGAGAAGAATCAAATAGATGCAATAAAAAATGATAAGGGGGATATGACCACCGATCCCACAGAAATTCAAACTACCATCAGAGAATACTACAAACCCCTCTATGCAAATAAACTAGAAAATCTAGAAGAAATGGATAAATTCTTCGACATATACACCCTCTCAAGACTAAACCAGGAAGAAGTTGAATTTCTGAATAGACCAATAACAGGCTCTGAAATTGTGGCAATAATCAATAGCTTACCAACCAAAAAGAGTCCAGGACCAGATGGATTCACAGCCGAATTCTACCAGAGGTAAAAGGAGGAACTGGTACCATTCCTTCTGAAACTATTCCAATCAATAGAAAAAGAGGGAATCCTCCCTAACTCATTTTATGAAGCCAGCACCATCCTGATACCTAAGCCGGGCAGAGACACAACCAAAAAAGAGAATTTTAGACTAATATCCTTGATGAACACTGATGCAAAAATCCTCAATAAAATACTGGCTAACCGAATCCAGCAGCACATCAAAAAGCTTATCCAACATGATCAAGTGGCCTTCATCCCTGGGATGCAAGGCTGGTTCAATATACACAAATCAATAAATGTAATCCAGCATATAAACAGAACCAAAGACAAAAACCACATGATTATCTCAATAGATGCAGAAAAGGCCTTTACAAAATTCAACAACCCTTCATGCTAAAAACTCTCAATAAATTAGGTATTGATGGGACGTATCTCAAAATAATAAGAGCTACCTGTGAAACTTCTTTGTGATGTGTTCATTCATCTCACAGAGTTGAACCTTTCTTTTGATTGGGCAGTTTGGAAACAGTCTTTTTGTAGAATCTGCAAAGTGATATGTTTCAGTGGTTTGAATCCAATGGTGAAAAAGGAAATGTCGAAAAATAAAATGTAGACAGCAGCTTTCTGAAGAATTACTTTGTGATGTGTGCATTCATCTCACAGGGTTGAAACTTCCTTTGATTGATCAGTTTGGAAACAGTCTTTTCGTAGAACCTGCAAAGTGATATTTGTGAACGCTTTGAGGCTTATGGTGAAAAAGGAAATATCTTCACATAAAAACTAAACTCATGTTTTCTCGGAAACTTCTTTGTGATGGGGGTATGCATCTCAAAGACTTGAATCTTTCTTTTGATTGAGCAGTTTGGAAACAGTCTTTTTGGAGAATCTGCAAAGGCATGTTTTTGAGTGGTTTGAGGCATGTGATGAAAAAGGAAATATCTTCATATAAAAACTAGACAGAAGCATTCTGAGAAACCACTTTGCAATGCATACATTCATCTCACAGAGTTGAATTTTCTTTCATTGAGCAGATTGGAAACACTCTTTTTGTAGAATATGCAAAGTGATATTTGTGAGCTTTCTGAGGCCTATTGTGAAAAAGGAAATATCCACAAGTAAAATCTAGACAGAAGCCTTCTGGGAAACTTCGTTGTGATGTGTGCATTCATCACACAGAGTTGAACCTTTCTTTTGATTGAGCAGTTTGGAAACAGTCTTTTCATAGAATCTGCAAGGGAAAATTTGGGAACGCTTTGAGGCTTATGGTGAAAAAGAAGTATCTTCACATAAAAACTAGACAGAAACGTCTGAGAAACTTCTTTTTGATGTGTGCATTCATCTCACACAGCTGAACTTTCATTTGATTGAGCAGTTTGGAAATAGTCCTTCTGTAGAATCTGCAAACGGTTATTTATGAGCAGTTTGAGGCCTATGGTGAAAAAGGGAGTATCGACAAATAAAAACTAGACAGAAACTTTCTGAGAAACTTCTCTGTGACGTGTGAATTCATCTCACAGAGTAGAAGCTTCCTTTGATTGAGCAGTTTGGAAACAGTCTTTTTGTAGAATCTGCAAAGGGTTATCAGGTCTATGGTGAAAACGGAAATATCTTCACATGAAAACTAGACAGAAGCTTTCTGAGAAAATTCTTTGAGATGTGCACATTCATCTCACAGATTTGAAGTGTTCTTTTCCTTGACCAGTTTGGATAGAGTCTTTTTGTAGAATCTGCTTTGCGATATTTGTGAACCCTTTGAAGCCTATGTTCAAAAAAGTAATATCTTCACACAAAAACGAGACAGAAGCTTTCTGAGAAACTTCGTTGTGATGTGTGCATTCATCCCAAAAGTTGAACCTGTCTTTGGATTGAGCAGTTTGGAAACAGTCCTTTGTAGAATGTACAAAGGGATATTTGGGATCCCTTTTTGGTTTATGGTGAAAAAGGAAATGTCTTCAGATAAAAACTAGACAGAAGCATTCTGAGAAACTTATTTTTGATGTGTGCATTCTTCTCACAGAGTTAAACCTTTCTTTAGATAGAGCAGATTGGAAAATGTCTTTTTGTAGAATCTGAAAGTGATAATTTGAATGCTTTGAGACTTATGGTGAAAAAGGAAATATCTTCACATAAAAACTGGATGGAAGCTTTCTGAGAAACTTCTTGTGATGTGTGCATTCATCTCAAAGAGTTGAAGCTTTGTTTCAGTTGAGCAGTTTGGTAACAGTCTTTTTGTAAAATCTGTAAAGGGACATTTGTGAGCACTTTGAGGCCTATATTGAAAAAGGAAACATCTTCAAATAAATACTAGAAAGAAGCTTTCTGAGAAACTTCTTTGTGATGTGTGCATTCACCTCACAGAGTTGAAGCTTTCTTTTGATTGAGTAGTTTGGAAACAGTCTTTTTGTAGAATCTGCAAAGGGTTATTTATGAGCGGTTTGAGGTCTATGGTGAAAAAGGGAGTATCAACAAATAAAAACTATACAGAAACTTTCTGAGAAACTTCTCTGTGATGTGTGCATTCATCTTACAGAGTGGAAGCTTTCTTTGATTGAGCAGTTTGGAAACAGTCTTTTTGTAGATCTTCAAAGAGTTATTCATGAGCGGATTGAGGCCTATGGTGAAAAAGAGAATATCAACAAATAAAAACTATACAGAAATTTTCTGAGAAACTTCTCTGTGATGTGTGTATTCATCTCGCAGGGTGGAAGCTTTCTTTGATTGAGCAGTTTGGAAACAGTATTTTTGTAGAATCTGCAAAGAGATATATGTAGGCGGTTTGAGGTCTATGGTGAAAACGAAAATATCTTCACATAAAAACTAACTGCTCAATGGGAAGAAATTTTTACTGCTCTGTGATAAATGCACATGTCACAAAAGAGTTACTCAGAAAACTTCTTTCTATTTTTAATGTGAAGATATTTCCTTTTTCACCATAAGCCTCAATGCACTCGCAGATAGCCCTTTGCAGATTCTACAAAAAGACTGTTTTGAAACTGCTCAATAAACAGAATGGTTCAACCCTGTGAGACGAATGTGCACATCACAAAGAAGTTTCTCAGAAAACTTCCTTCTCAGTTTTATGTGAAGACATTTCCTTTTTGAACATAGGCCTCAATGCACTCCCAAATATAACTTTGCAGAATCTACAAAAAGACTGTTTCCAAACTGCTCAATCAAAAGAAAGTTTCAACTCTGTTAGATGAATGCACACATCAGAAAGTAGTTCCTCAGCAAGCTTCTCACTAGTTTTTATGTGAAGATAGTTCTTTTTTCAACATGGGTCTCAAAGCACTCAAAAATATCCCTTTGCAGACTCTAGAATAACAGAGTTTACAAACTGCTCAATGAAAAGAAATGTTTACATCTGTGAGATGAGTACACATATCTTAAAGCAGCTTCTCAGAATGCTTCTTTCTAGTTTTTATGTGAAGATATTTCCTTTTCCACCATAGGCCTCAACTTGCTGCTAAATATCCCTTTGCAGATTGTACCAAAAGACTGTTTCCAGACTGCTCAATCAAAACAAATGTTAAACTCTATGAGATAAATGCACACATCACAAAAAGTTTCTCAGGAAACTTTTGTCTAGTTTTTATTTGAAGATATTTCCTTATTCACCATAGGCCTCAAAGCGCTACAAATATCCCTCTGCAGATTCTACAAAAAGACTATTTGCAAACTGCTCAATCCAAAGAATGTTTCAACTCTGTGTGATGAATGCACACATCCAAAGAAGTTTCTCAGAAACTTTCTTTATGGTTTTTCTGTGAAGATATTTCCTTTTTCAACATAGGCCTCAAAGCCCTCACAAATATCCCTTTGCAGATTCTACAAAAAGACTGTTTCTAAACCGCTCAATAAAAAGAATTATTGAACACTGCCAGATGAATGCACACAGCTCAAAGAAGTTTCTCAGAATCCTTCAGTCTAGTTTTTATGTGAATATATTTCCTTTTTCACGATAGGCCTCAAAATACTCCAAATATCCGTTTGCAGAGTCTACAAAAAGTCTGTTTCCAAACGGCTCAATCAAAACACAGGTTCAACTCTGTGTGATGAATGCACACATCACGAAGCTGTTTCTCAGAATGCTTCTGTCTAGTTTTTCACCATAGGCCTCAAAGTGCTCACAAATATCCCTTTACAGATTCTACAAAAATACTTCTTCCAAATTGCTCAATCAAGAGAAAGGTTCAACTGTGTGAGATGTATGCACACCACAAAGAGGTTTCTCAGAAAGCTTCTTTCTAGTTTTTATGTGAAGATATTTCCTTTTTCACCATAGGCCTCAAAGCATTCACAAATATCCCTTTGCAGATTCTACAAAAAGACTCTTTACACATTGCTCAATCAAAAGAATGTTTCAACTCTGTGAGACGAATGCTCACATCACCAGGATGTTTCTCAGAAAGCTTCTGTGTAGTTTTTATGTGAAGATATTTCCTTTTTCACCATACACCTCAAAGGGCTCACAAATATCCCTTTGCAGATCTTACAAAAAAAGAGTTATCAATCTTCTCAATGAAAAGAAACAGACACATCTGGGAGATGAATGCACATATCACAAAGCAGTTTCTGAGAAATATTCTGTCTAGTTTTTATGTGAAGGCGTCTCCTTTTCCACCACAGGATGCAAAGTGCTCAAAATTGTCCTTTTGCAGATTCTACAAAAAGATTGTTTCCACACTGCTCATCAAAAGAAAGGTTCAACTTTTCTTTTGTGTGAGATGATTGCACACGTCAAAAAGTAGTTTCTCAGAAAGCTTCTATTAAGTTTTTATGTGAATGTTTACTTTTTCCCCATGAGCCTCAAGTTGCTCACAAGTATCCACTTGAAGAATATTTAAAAAGACTGTTTCCAAAATGCTCAATCAAAAGAAAGGTTGAACTGAGTGAGATGAATGCACACATCACAAAGAAGTTTCTCAGAAACCTTCTTTATAGTTTTTATGTGAAGATATTTTCTTTTTCAACACAGGTCTCAAATTGCTCAGCAATATCCCTTTGTAGATTCTGCAAAAAGACTGCTTCCCAACTGCTCAATCAAATAAATGGTTGAACTCTGTGAGATGGATGCACACATCTCAAAGAGGTTTCTCAGAAATCTTCTGTCCATTTTTTATGTGAAGATATTTCCTTTTTCACCATAGCACTCCAAGTCGTGACAAATATCCCTTGCAGATTCTGCAAAAAATACTGTTTCCATACTGCTCAATCAAAAGAATGGTTCAACTCTGTGAGATGATTGCACGCACCACAAAGAAGCCGCAAAGAAAGCTTCTGTCTAGTTTTTATGTGAAGATATTTCCTTTTTCATCATAGGCCTCAAAGCACTCACAAATATCCCTTTGCAGATTCTACAAGAACAGAGTTTCCAGACTGATCATAGAAAATAAACGTTTACCTCTCTGAGATCAATGCTCACACCACAAATCTCTTTCTAAGAAACCTTCTTTATACCTTTTATATAAATATATTTCCTTCTTCACCATTGGCCTCAAAGCTCTCATAAATGTCCCTTTGCAGATTCTACAAACAGATGGTTTCCATACTAATCAATCAAAAGTAAGTTTCAACTTTGTGAGATGAATGCCCACATCACAAAGAGGTTTCTTGGAAAACCTCTCTCTAATTTTTATGTGAAGATATTTTGTTTTTCACCATAGGCCTCAAAGCACTCACAAATATCCCTTTGCAGAATCTACAAGAACAGTTTCCAGACAGATCAGAGAAAAGAAACGTTTACCTCTTTGAGATGAACGCATACATCACAAAGCTCTTTCTGAGAAACCTTGTTTATACTTTTTATGTGAATACATTTCCTTTTTCACCGTAGGCCTCAAAGCACTCATAAATATCCCTATGCAGATTCTACAAAAAGAGTGTTTCCAAACTGTTCAATCAGAAGAATGGTTGAACTCTATGAGATGAATGCACATATCACAAAGAAGTTTCTCGGAAAGCTTCTGTCTAGTTTTTATTTGAAGATATTTCCTATTTCATCATAGGCCTCATACCATTCAAAAATATGACTTTACAGATTCTACAAAAATACTGTTTCCAAATTGCTTAATCCAAAGAAAGTTTCAAATCTGTGAGATGAATGCACACATCACAAGGTTTCTCAGAAAGCTTCTCTCTAGTTTTCATGTGAAAATATTTCGTTTTCACCATAGGTTTCAAAGCATCACAAATATCCCTTTGCAGATTCTACCAAAACACTGTTTACAAACTGCCCAATCAAAAGAATGTTTCAACTCTGTGAGACGAATTCTCGCGTCTCCAAGATATTTCACAGAAAGCTTCTGTCTAGTTTTTATGTGAAGATAATTCCTTTTTCACCATAGGCCTCAAAGTGCTGACAAATATCTCTTTGCAGATTTTACAAGAACAGAATTTCCAATCTGTTCAATGAAAAGAAATGGTTACCTCTTTGAGATGAAAGCACACATCACAAGGCAGTTTCTCAGAAATATTCTGTCTAGTTTTTATGCAAAAATAATTCGTTTTCCAACATAGGAAACAAAACACTAACGAATAACCCTTTGGAAATTCTACCAAATACTGCTTCCAAAATGCTCATCAAAAGAAAGGTTCACCTCTGTGGGATGAATGCACATATCAAAAAGATGATTCTCAGAAAGCTTCTATCTTGTTTTTATGTGAAAGTGTTTCCTTTTTCACCATGGGCCTCAAAGTGCTCAAAAATATCCCTTTGCAGATCCTAAAAAAGACTGTTTCCAAACCGCTGAGTCAAAGGAGTGGTTCAACTCTGTGAGATGAATGCACACATCATAAAGAAGTTTCTCACAAACCTTCTTTATAGTTTTTATGTGAAGATATTTCCTTTTAACCATAGACCTCAAAGTGCTCACAAATATCCCTTTGCAGATTCTACAAAAAGATGGGTTCCCAACCGCTCAATCAAAAGAATTGTTGAACTCTGGGAGATGAATACATACATCACAAAGCAGTTTCTCAGAAATCTTTAGTATAGTTTTTACGTGAAGATACTTTCTCTTTCACCATAGGCCTCAAAGTGCTCAGAAATTTCCCCTTACAGATTCCACAAAAAGACATTTCCAAACTGCTTAATCAAAAGAAAGTTTCAATTCTGTGAGATGAATGCACACATCACCAAGAAGTTTCTCAGTAGGTGATACTTTCTCTTTCACCATAGTCCTCAAAGTGACCAGAAATATCCCTTTACAGATTCCACAAAAGACGTTTCTAAACTGCTTAATCAAAAGAAAGTTACAATTCTGTGAGATGAATGCACACATCACCAAGAAGTTTTTCAGTAGGCCTCTGTCTAGTTTTTATGTGAAGACAATATCTTTTTCACCACAGGGCTCTAGGCACTCAAAAATGTCCCTTAGCAGATCCTACAAGAACAGAGTTTCCCAATTGATCAAGAAAAGAATTGTTTACCTCTGTGAAATGAATGCAGACATCAAAAAACAGTTTCCCAGAAACCTTCTTTATATTTTTCTGTGAAGATACTTCTTTTCCTGCATAGGCCTCAAAGTGCTAACAAATATCCGTTTGCAGATTCTTCAAAAAGACTGTTTCCAAACGGCTGAATTAAAAGAGACGTTCAAATCTGGGAGATGAATGCACATATCACAAAGAAGTATCTCAGAAACGTTCTTTATGCGTTGAATGTGAAGATATTTCCTTTGTCACAATAGGCCTCAAAGTGCTCAAAAATACCCCCTTTGAGATTGTACAAGAACAGAGTTTCCAGACTGATCGCAGAAAAGAAACACTTACTTCTGTGAGATGAATGCACACATCACAAGGTTGTTTTTAGAAAACCTGCTTTATAGTTCTTATGTGAAAATATGACCTTTTCCACCATAGGATTGACAGCGCTCCAAATATCCAATGGCAGACTCTACAAAAAGAGAGTTTCCAAACTGCTCAACAAAAACAAAGTCCAACTCTGTGAAATGAATGCCCACAACACAAAGAAGTTTCTCAGAATGCTTCCGTCTATTTTTCAAGTGAAGATATTTCCTTTTCCACCATAGGCGTCAAAGCGCTCTAAATATCCACTTGCAGATTCTACAAAAAGAGTGTTTCAAAACTGCTCAACCAAAAGAAAGGTTCAACTCTGCGAGGTGAAAGCACACATCACAAAGAAGTTTCTCAAAATGATTCCCTGTAGTTTTTATGTGAAGATATTTCCTTTTCCACAAGAGGCTGCAAAGCGATCCAAATATCCAATTGCAGATTCTACAAAAAGTGTTTCAGAACTGCTTAATCAAAATAAAGGTTCAGCTCTGTGAGTTTAATACGCACATCACAAAGAAGTTTCTCAGAATGCTTCTCGCTAGTTTTTATGGGAAGATTTATTCTTTTCCACCATATGCCTCAAAGTGATCCAAATATCCACTTGCAGATCCTACAAAAAGAGTGTTTCAAAACTGCTTAATCAAAAGAATGGTTCAACTCTGTGAGATGAATGCACACATCACAAAGAAGTTTCTACAAGTGTTTCTGTCTAGTTTTTATGTGCAGATATTTCCTTTTCCACTATAGGCCTCAAAGCTGTCCAAATACAAATTTGAAGACGGTACAAAAAGAATGTATCCTAACTGCTCAATATAAAGATATGTTCAACTCGGTGAGTTGAATGCACACATCACAAAAAAGTTTCTCAGAATGCTTCTGTCTAGTTTTTATGTGAAGATATTTCCTTCTCCACAATAGGTCTCAAAGCACTCTAAATATGCAACTGCTGATTCTACAAAAACAGTGTTTCAAAACTGCTCAATCAAAAGAAATGTTCAACTCTGTGAGATGAATGTGCACATCACAAAGTAGTATCTTAGAATGATTCTGTCTAGTTCTTATGTGAAGATATTTCCTTTTCTATCATGGCCTCAAAGTGCTCCACATATCCACTTGCAGATTCTGCAAAAAGAGTGTTTCAAAACTGCTCAATCAAAGGAAAGGTTCAACTCTGTGAGGTGAATGCACACATCATGAAGAAGTTTCTCAGAATGCTTCTGTCTAGTTTTTATGTGAAGATATTTCCTTTTCCACCAGAGGCCACACAGCGCCTCAAATATCCACTTGCAGATTGTACAAAAAGAGTGTTTCAGAACTGCTCAATCAAAGGAAATGTTCAACTCTGTGAAATTAAGGGACACATCACAAGGAAATTTCTCAGAATGCTTCTGTCTAGTTTATGTGAAGATATTACCTTTTCCAGCAGAGGTCGCAAAGCTCTCAAAATATCCACTTGCAGATTCTAAAAAAAGATTGTTTCAAAACTGCTCAATCAAAAGAAAGGTTCAACTCTGTGAGTTGAACGCACACAGCATAAAGAACTTTGTCAGAATACTTCTCTGTAGTTTTTATGTGAAGATATTTCCTTTTCCACCGTAAGCATCAAAGCGCTCCAAATATCCACTTGCACACTCTATAAAAAGAGTGTTTCAAAACTGCTCAATCAAAAGAAAGGTGCAGCTCTGTGAGATGAATACACATATCACAAAGAATTTTCTCAGTATGCTTCTCTCTAGTTTTTATGTGAAGACATTTCCTTTTCCACCATAGACCTCAAAGCGCTCCAAATATTCACTTGCAGATTCTACACAAAGAGTGTTTCAAAACTGCTCAGTCAAAAAAATGGATCAAGACAGTGACATGAATGCACACACCACAAAGAAGTTTCTCAGAATGCTTCTGTCTAGTTTTTAGGTGAAGATATTTCCTTTTACACCATAGACCTCAAACCACTCCAAGTATCCCTTTGCAGATACTACAAAAAGAGCGTTTCAAAACTGCTCAATCAAAAGAAAGGTTGAACTCTGTGAGATGAATGCACACGTGAAGAAGAAGTTTCTCAGAATGCTTCTGACAAATATTTATGTGAAGATATTTCCTTTTCCACTATAGACTGCAAAGTGCTCCAAATATCCACTTGCAGATTCTACAAAAAGAGTGTTTCACTACTGCTCAATCAAAAGAAAGCTTTAACTCTGTGAGATGAATGCACACATAACAAAGAAATGTCTCAGAATGCTTCTATTTAGTTTTTATGCAAAGATATTGCCTTTTCCACTTAAGGCCACAAAGCGCTCCAAATATCCAATTGTAGGTTCTACAAAAGGAGTCTTTCAAAACTGCTCTATCAAAAGAAGGGTTCCATTATGTGAGTTGAATGCACACATCACAAAGAAGTTTCTCAAAATGCTTCTGTCTACTATTTATGTGAAGATATTTCCTTTTCCACTACAGGCCTCAAAGTGCTCCAAATATCCATTGGCAGATTTTACAAAAAGAGTGTTTCAAAACTGCTCAATCAAAAGAAAGGTTGAACACTGTGAGTTGAATGCACACATCACAAAGAAGTTTCTCAGACTGCTTCTCGGTAGTTTTTATGTGAAGATATTTCCTTTTCCACCATAGGCCTTAAAGCACTCCAAATATCCATTTGCAGATTCGACAAAAAGAGACATTCAAAACTGCTCAATCAAAAGAAAGGTTCAACTCTGTGAGTTGAATGCACACATCACAAAGAACTTTCTCAGAATGGTTCTCTCTAGTTTTTATATAAAGATATTTCCTTCTCCACTATAGGCCACAAAGCGCTCCAAATAACCACTTGCAGATTCTACAAAAACAGTATTTCAAAACTGCTCAATCAAAAGAATGGTTCAACTCTGTGAGAAGAAGGCACACATCACAAAGAAGTACCACAGAATGCTTCTGTTTAATTTTAATGTGAAAATATTTCATTTTCCACCATATGCCTCAAAGCACTACAAATATCCACTTGCAGACTATACAAAAAGGGTGTTTCAAAACTGGTCAATAAAAAGAAAATTTCAACTCTATGAGATGAATGCACATATCACAAAGATGTTTCTCAGAATGCTTCTGTCTAATTTTTATGTGAAGATATTTTCTTTTCCCCTATAGGCCACAAAGGCCACAAAATATCCACTTGCAGATTCTACAAAAAGAGTGTTTGAAAACTTCACAATCAAAAGAAAGGTTCAACTCTGTGAGACGAATGCACACATCACAAGGAAGTTTCTCAGAATGCTTCTGTCTGGTTTATGTGAAGATATTTCCTTTTCCAACAGAGGCCGTAAAGCACTCAAAATATCCACTTGCAGATTCTAAAAAAAGGGCATTTCAAAACTGCTCAGTCAAAAGAAAGGTTCAACTCTGTGAGTTGAACACACACAGCACAAAGAACTTTGTCAGAATGCTTCTCTTTAGTTTTTATGTGAAGATATTACCTTGTCCACTATAAGACTCAAAGAGCTCCAAATATCCACTTGCACACTCTACAAAAAGAGCATTTCAAAACTGCTCAATCAAAAGAAAGGTTGAACTCTGTGAGATGAATGCACACATCACAAAGAAGTTTCTCAGAATGCTTCTCCATACTTTTTATGTGAAGATATATCCTTTTCCACAATAGTCCACAAAGCGTTCCAAATATCCACTTGTAGATCCTAAAAAAGTGTGTTTCAAAACAGCTCAATCAAAAGAAAGGTTCAACTCTGTGTGTTGAAGGCACACATCACAAACAAATTTCTCAGAATGCTTCTGTGTAGTTTTCATATGAAGATATTTCCTTTTCCACCATAGGCCTCAAAGCGCTCCAAGTATCTAATTGGAGATTCCACAAAAAGAGTGTTTCAAAACTACTCAATCAAAAGAAAGCTTCAACTCTGTGAGATGAATGCACACATCACAAAGAAGTTTCTCAGAATGCTGTTGTCTAGTTTTTATGTGAAGATATTGCCTTTTCCACTTAAGGCAACATTGCGCTCCAAATATCCACTTGCAGATTCTACAAAAGGAGTCTTTCAAAACTGCTGAATCAAAAGGATTCCACTCTTTGAGTTGAATGCACACATCACAAAGAAGTTTCTCAGAATGCTTCTGTGTACTATTTATGTGAAGATATTTCCTTTTCCACAATAGGCCTCAAAGCGCTCCAAAGATCCACTGGCAGATTTTACAAAAAGAGTGTTTCAAAACTGCTGAATCAAAGAAAGGTTTAACTCTGTGGGTTGAATGCACACATCACAACGAAGTTTCTCTGAATGCTTCTGTCTAATTTTTATGTGAAAACAATTCATTTTCCACCATAGGCTTCAATGTGCTCCAAATATCCACTTGCAGATTCTACAAAAAGAGTGTTTCCAAACTGCTCAGCCAAAAGAACAGTTCAACTCTGTGAGATGAAACCACGTATCACAAAGAAGTTTCTCAGAAATTTCTGTCTAGTTTTTATGTGAGAATATTTCCTATTTCATCTGTAGGCATCAATGGGCTGAGAAATATCCCTTCACAGATTCTACAAAAATACGGTTTCCAAACTACTCAATGAAAACAAATGTTCAACTCTTTGTGATGAATGCACACATCACAAAGAAGTTTGCCAGAATGTTTCTGTCTAGTTTTTATATGAAGATATTTCGTTTTCCACTATAGGCCGTAAAGTGCTCCAAATATCCACTTGCGGATTCTACAAAAATACGGTTTCCAAACTACTCAATGAAAACAAATGTTCAACTTTTTGAGTTGAATGCACCCATCACAAAGAAGTTTCTCAGAATGCTTCTGTCTAGTTTTTATGTGAAGATATTTCCTTTTTCACCATAGGCCTCAAAGAGCTCCAAATATCCATTTGCAGATCCTTCAAAAAGAGTGTTTCCAAACTGCTCAATCAAAGAAAAGTTACAACTCTCTGAGATGAAAGAACACATCATAAAGAAGTTTCTCAGAAAGCTTCTGCCTTGTTTTTATGTGAAGATATTTTCTGTTTCACCATAGTCCAGAAACGGCTCAAAAATAGCCCTTTTCAGATTCTACAGAAAGACTGTTTCCAAACTGCTGAACCAAAAGAAAGGTTCAACTCTGTGAGATGAAAGCACACATCTCAAAGAAATTTCTCAGAAAGCTTCTGTCTGGTTTTTATGAGAAGATGTTTCCTATTTCACCATAGGCCTCAATGGGCTGAAAAATATCCCTTTGCAGATTCTGCAAAAGGACTGTTTCCAAACTGCTCAATCCAAAGAAAGTTTCACCTCTTTGAGTTGAATGCACACATCACAAACAAGTTTCTCAGAATGCTTCTGCCTAGTTTTTATGTGAAGATATTTCCTTTTTCACCATATGCCTTAAACTGCTCTCAGATATCCCTCTGCAGATACTCCAAAAGGCTGTCTCCAAACTGCTCAGTCAAAAGTAAGGTTCAACTCTGTGAGATGAAAGGATACATCTCAAAGAAGTTTCTCAGAATACTTCTGTCTAGTTTTTATGTGAAGATATTTCTTTTTCGATATAGGCCTCCAACTTCTCAGAAATATCCCTTTCCAGATTGTACAAAAAGACTGTTTCCAAACTGCTTAATGAAAAGAAACTTTCAACTCTGTGAGATGTATGCACGCATCAAAAAGAAGCTTCTCAGAAAGCTTCTGTTTATTTTTCATGTGAAGATATTTCGCTTTTCACCATAGGCCTCAAAGTGCTCCAAATATCCATTTTCAGATTCTGCAAAAAGACTGTTTCCAAACTGTTCAATCAAAAGAAAGTCTCAAATCTGTGACATGAAAGCGCACATCACTAAGAAGTTTATCAGAAAGCTTCAGTCTAGTTTTTATGTGAAGATATGTCCTTTTTCACCATAGGTATCAATGGGAACAGAAATATCCCTTTGCAGATCCTACAAAAAGACTGTTTCCAAACTGCTCAACGAAAAGAATGGTTCAACTCTGTGAGATGAAAGCACATATCACAAAGAAGTTTCTCAGAAATCCTCTGTCTAGTTTTTATGTGAAGATATTTCCTTTTTCACCATAGGCCTTAAACTGCTCTCACATATCCCTCTGCAGGTACTACAAAAAGACTGTTTCCAAACTACTCCATCAAAGGAAAGGTTTAACTCTCTGAGATGAATGGATACATCACAAAGAAGTTTCTCAGAATACTTCTGTCTGGTTTTATCTGAACATATTTCTTTTTCACCACAGTCCTCAAACTTCGCAGAAGTATCCCTTTGCAGATTGTACAAAAAGACTGTTTCCAAATTGCTCAATCAAAAGAAAGGTTCAACTCTGTGAGATGTACGTACTCATCAAAAAGAAGTTTCTCAGAAAGCTTCTGTTTAGTTTTAATGTGAAGATATTTCCTTTTTCACCATAGGCCTCAAAACGCTCCAAGTATCCATTTGCAGATTGTACAAAAAGACTGTTTCCAAACTGCTCAATCAAAAGAAAGATTCAAATCTGTGAGATGAAAGCACATATCACTAAGAAGTTTTTCAGAAAGCTTCTGTCTAGTTTTTATGTGAATATATTTCCTATTTCCCCAGAGGCCTCAATGGGCTCACAAATATCCCTTTGTAGATTTTACAAAACGACTCTTTCCAAACTGCTCAATCAAAAGAAACTCTCATCCCTGTGAGATGAATGCACATATCAGGAAGAAGTTTCGCAGAATGCTTCTGTCTAATTTTTATGTGAAGATATTTTGTTTTCCACTATAGGAATCAAAGTGCTCCAAATAGCCACTTACAGATTGTAAAAAAAGACTGTTTCAAAACTGCTCAATCAAAAGAAAGGTTGAAGCCTGTGAGATGAATGCACACATCACAAAGAAGTTTCCCAGAATGCTTCTGATTTTTATGTGAAGATATTTCCTTTTTCACCATAGGCCTCAATACACTCCAAATATCCATTTGCAGATACTACAAATGACTGTTTATAAACTACCCAATCAAAAGAAAGTTCAACTCTGTGTGATCAATGCACATATCACAAGAAAGTTTCTCAGAAATTTTGATCTGGTTTTTATGTGAAGATATTACCTATTTCCCCAGAGGCCTCAATGGGCCCACAAATATTCCCTTTCAGATTCTACAAAATGAATGTACCGAAGCTGCACAATCAAAAGAAAGGTTCACCAGTGTGAGATGAAAGCATACATCACCAGGAATTTTCTCAGAATTCTTCTTTCTAGATTTTATGTGAAGATATTTCCTTTTCCACTATAGGCCTCAAAGCGCTCCAAATATCCATTTGCAGATACTATAAAGAGAGTGTTTCTAAACTGCTCAATCAAAAGAAAGGTTCAACACTGTGAGATGAATGCACACAACACAAAGAAGTTTCCCAGAAAGCTTCAGTCTAGTTTTAATGTGAGGATATTTCGTTTTCCAACATAGGCCTCAAAGCACTCAAATTATCATTTGCAGATACTACAAGAAGACTGTTTCCAAACTGCTTCATAAAAAGAAATGTTTAACTCTGTGAGATAAATGCACACATCACAAAGAAGTTTCTCAAAATGCTTCTGGGAAGTTTTTATGGGAAGATATTTCCTTTTTTACCATAAGTCTCAAATTGCTGCTAATATCCATTTGCAGATACTACAAAAAGAGTGTTGCCAAACTGCTCAGTCAAAAGAAAGATTCAACTCTGTGAAATGAATGCACACATCACAAAGAAGTTTCTCACAATGCTTCTGTCTCGTTTTTATTTGAAGATATTTCCTTTTCCACCATAGACCACAAATCGCTCCAAATATCCACTTGCAGATTCTACAAAAAGAGTGTTTTCAAACTGCTCAATGAAAAGAAAGCCTCATCTCTGTGAGTTGAAAACACACAGCACAAACAAGTTTCTCAGAAAGTTTCTGTCTAGTTTTTATATGAAGATATTTCCTATCGCCCCACAGGCCTCAATGGGCTCACAAATATCCCTCTGTAGATTCTACAAAACGATGTTTTCCAAATTGCTCAATGAAAAGAAAGGTTCAACTCGGTGTAATGAATGCATACATCACAGTGAAGTTTCTCAGAATGCTTCTGTCTAGTTTTTATATGAAGATATTTCCTTTTCCACCATAGGCCTCATCGCGCTCCAAGTATCCCCTGGCAGATTCTGCAAAAAGTATGTTTCAGAACTGTTCAATCAAAAGAAAGGTACAACACCATGAGATGAATGCACACATAATGAAGTAGTTTCTAGGAATGCTTCTGTCTGGTTTTTATGTTAAGATATTTCCTTTTTCACCATAGGACTCAAAGCCCTTCAAATATCCATTTGCAGATACTACAAAAAGACTGTTTCCAAACTACTCAATCAAAAGAAAGTTCAACTCAGTGAGATGAATGCACACATCACAAAGAAGTTTCTCAGAAAGATTCTGTCTAGTTTTTATGTGAAGATATTTCCTATTTCCACAGAGGCCTCAATGGGCTCACAAATATTCCTTTGCATATTCTACAAAACGACTGTTCAAAGCTGCTCAATCAAAAGAATGGTTCAACACTGTGAGATGAATGCACACATTCCAAGGAAGTTTCTCAGAATTCTTCTGTTTGGTTTTTATGTGAACATATTTCCCTTTCCACTATAGGCTGCAAAGCGTTCCAAATATCCACTTGCAGATCCTACAAAAAGTGTTTTCACACTGCTCAATCAAAAGAAAAGTTCAACTCTGTGAGATGAATGCACACAGTGCAAAGAAGTTTCTCAGAAAGCTTCTGCCTAGTTTTTATGGGAAGATGTTTCGTTTTTCAACATAGGACAAAAGCACTCCAAATATCCATTTGCAGATTCTACAAAAAGACTGTTTCCAAACTGCTCAATCAAGAGAAAGTTTCAACACAGTGAGATGAAGTCACACATGACAAATAAATTTCTCAGAGAGTATCTGTCTAGCTTTTATGTGAAGGTATTTTCTATTTCCCCAGAAGCCTCAATGGGCATACAAACATCCCTTTGCAGATTCTACAAGACGACAGTTTCCAAACTAATCAATCAAAATAATGGTTCAACTCTGTGAGATGAATGCACACATCACAAAGAAGTTTCTCAAAATGCTGCTGTCTAGTTTTTAAGGGAAGATATGTCCTCTTCCACCATAGGCCTCAAAGTGCTCCAAATATCAACTTGCAGATTCTACAAAAATACTGTTTCCAAACTGCTCAATAAAAAGAAAAGTTCAACTCTGTGAGATGAATGCACACATCACAAAAAGTTTCTCAGAATACTTCTGTCTAGTTTTTATCGGAAGATATGTCCTTTTCCACCAATGACCTCAAAGCGCTCCAAATATCCACTTGCAGATTGTACAAAAAGAGTGTTTCAAAACTGCTCAATCAAAAAAAAAGTTCAACTCTGTGAGATGAATGCACACATCACAAACAAGTTTCTCAGAATGCTTCAGTCTACTTTTAATGTGAAGATATTTCCTTTTCCAACATATGCCTCAAAGCACTCCAATTACCATTTGCAGATAATACAAAAAAGCCTGTTTCCAAACTGCTCAATAAAAAGAAAGGTTCAACTCTGTGAGATGAATGCACACATCACAAAGAAGTTTCTCAGAATGCTTCTGCCTAGTTTTTATGGGAAGATATTTCCTTTTTCACCATAGGCCTCAATGAGCTGCTAATATCCAATTGCAGATACTACAAAAAGACTGTTCCCAAACTGCTCAATTAAAATAAAGTTTCAACTCTGTGAGATGAAAGCGCACATCCCAAAGAAGTTTCTCAGAAAGTGTCTGTCTAGTTTTTATGCGAAGATATTTCCTATCGCCCCATAGGTCTCTATGGGCTCACAAATATCCCTCTGCAGATTCTACAAAACGATGGTTTTCAAACTGCTCAATCAAAGGAAAGGTTCAACTTTGTGAAATGAATGCACCCATGAGAAAGAAGTTTCTCAGAATGCTTGTGTCTAGCTTTTATGTGAAGATGTTTCCTTTTCCACCAGAGGCCTCAAAGTGCTTCAAATATACACTTGCAGATCTTGCAAAAAGAGTGTTTCAAAACTGCTCAATCAAAAGAAAGGTTGAAGTCTGTGAGATGAATGTACACATCACAAAGAAGTTTCTAAGAATGCTTCCATCTGATTTTTATGTGAAGATATTTCCTTTTTCACCATAGGCCTCATTACTCTCCAAATATCCATTTATAGATAATACAAATGACTGTTTCCAAACTGCTCAATCAAAAGAAAGTTCAACTGTGTGTGATAAATGCACACATCACAAAGAAGTTGCTCAAAGAGTTTTTGTCTAGTTTT
>NT_187424.1:48537-57122 GCF_000001405.40 Homo sapiens | reverse complement strand
GAGAGTTTTTGTCTAGTTTTTAGGTGAAGATATTTCTTATTTCCCAAGAGGCCTCAATGGGCTCTCAAATATTCTCTTTCAGATTCTACTAAATGACTGTATTGAAGCTGCTCAATCAAAAGAAAGGTTCAACAGTGTGAGAAGAAAGCACACATTCCTAGGAAGTTTCTCAGAATTCTTATTTCTAGTTTTTTATGTGAAGATATTTCCTTTTCCACTATAGGCCTCAAAGAGTTCCAAATATCCACTTGCAGATACTACAAAGAGAGTGTTTCAAAACTGCTCAATCAAAAGAAAGGTTCAACTTTGTGAGATGAATGCAGACATCACACAGAAGTTTCTCAGAATCCTTCTGCCTTGTATTTATGGGAAGATATTTCCTTTTTCACCATAGGTCTCAAAGCACTGGTAATATCCATTTGCAGATACTACTAAAAGACTGTTCTCAAACTGCTCAATCAAAAGAAAGTTTCAACTCTGTGAGATGAAAGCGAATATCACAAAGAAGTTTTTCATAAATTTTCTGTCTGGTTTTTATGTGAACATATTTCCTATCACCCCATAGGCCTCAATCGGCTCACAAATATCCTTCTGCAGATTATACAAAACGACTGTTTCCAAACCATTCAATCACAGGAAGGGTTCAACTCTGTGAAATGAATGCACCCATCACAGAAAAATTTCTCAGAATGCTTCTGTCTCGTTTTAATGTGAAGAAGATTCCTTTTCCACCATATTCCTCATGTGCTTCAAACGTACATGGCAGATTCTGCTAAAAGAGTGTTCAAAACTGCTCAATCAAAAGAAAAGTTCTAATCTGTGAGATGAATGTACACATCACAAAGGAGTTTCTATGAATGCTTCTGTCTGATTTATATTGAAGATATTTCCTTTTTCACCGTAGGCCTCAGAGCACTTAAAATATCCATTTGCAGATACTAGAAAAAGACTGTTTCCAAACTGCTCAATCAAAATAAAGTTCAACTCAGTGAGATGAATGCACATATCACAAAGAAGTTTCTGAGAAAGTTTCTGTCTAGTTTTTATTTGAAGATATTTCCTATTTCCCCAGAGGCATCAATGGGCTCACAAATATTCCTTTGCATATTCTACAAAATGACTGTTTAGAAGCTGCTCAATCAAGAAAAAAGTTCAACACTGTGAGATGAATGCACACATTCAAAGGAAGTTTCTCAGAATTCTTCTGTCCAGTTTTTATGTGAAGATATTTCCTTTTTCACTATAGGCCACAAAGCGCTCAAAATATCCACTTGCAGACTCTACAAAAAGAGTGTTTCCACACTGCTCAATCAAAAGAAAAGTTCAACAGTGTGAGATGAATGCACACATCACAAAGAAATTTCTCCAAAAGCTTCTTCCTAGTTTTTATGGGAAGATACTTCATTTTTCAACATAGGCCAAAAGTGCTCCAAATATTCATTTGCAGATTCTACAAAAAGACTGTTCCCAAACTGCTCAATCAAGAGAAAGTTTCAACCCGGTGAGTTGAAGTCACACATGACAAAATAGTTTCTCAGAAAGTATCTTTCCAGTTGTTATGTGAAGATATTTCCTATCTCCCGAGAAGCCTCAATGGGCTCACAAATATCCCTTTGCAGATTCTACAAAACGACAGTTTCAAAACTACTGAATCAAAAGAAAGGTTCAACTCTGTGAGATGAATGCACAGATCGCAAATAAGTTTCTCAGAATGCTGCTGTCTAGTTTTTATGGGAAGATGTATCTTTTTCCACCATAGGCCTGAAAGTGCCCCAAATATCCACTTATAGATTGTACAAAAAGACTGTTTCAAAACTGCTCAATCAAAAGAAAAGTTAAACTCTGTGAGATGAAAGCACACATCAGAAAGAAGTTTCTCAGAAAGTTTCTGTCTAGTTTTTATGTGAAGATATTTCCTATCACCCCATACGTCTCAATGGGCTCAAAAATATCTCTCTGCAGATTCTACAAAACGACTGTTTCCAAACTGTTCAATACAAGGAAAGGTTCAACTCCATGAAATGAATACACCCATCAGGCAGAAGTTTCTCAGAATGCTTCTGTCTAGTTTTTATGTGACAATGTTTCCTTTTCTACCATAGGCCTCAAAGCTCTACAAATATCCACTTGAAGATACTGCAAAAAGCGTTTTTCAAAACTGCTCAATTAAAAGAATGGTTCAACTTCGTGAGATGAATGCACACATCACAAAGAAATTTCTCAGAATGCTTCTGTCTAGTTTTTATGTGAAGATATTTCCTTTTCCACCATAGGCCTCAAAGCGCTCCAAATATTCACTTGCACACTCTTCGAAAGAGTTTTTCAAAACTTCTCAATCAAAAGAAAGTTTCAGCTCTGTGACATGAATGCACACATCACAAAGAAGTTTCTCAGAATGCTTCTGCCTAATTTTTAGGGGAAGATATTTCCTTTTTCACCATAGGCCTCAAAGTGCTCTAAATATCCATTTGCAGGTGAGAAAAAGACGGTGTCCAAACTTCTCAATCAAAAGAAAATTTCAGCTCTGTGAGATGAATGCACATATCACAAAGAACTTTCTCAGAATGCTTCTTGCTTGTTTTTATGTGAAGATATTTCCTTTTCCAACACAGGCATCTAAGCACTCCAAGTATCCAATTGAAGATTCCACAAAAAGAGTGTTTCAAAACAGCTCAATCATAAGATAGGTTTAACTTTGTGAGATGAATGCACACATTGCAAAGAAGTTTTTCAGAATGCTTCTGTCTACTTTTTACATGAAGTTATTTCCTTTTCCACTATAGGCCTCAAATCACTCCAAATATCCACTTGCAGATCCTACAAAAAGAGTGTTTCTGAACTGCTCAATCAAAAGAAAGGCTCAACTCTGTGAGATGAATGTACATATCACAAAGAGGTTTCTCAGAATGCTTCTGTCTAGTTTTGCTGTGAAGATATTTCCTTTTCCACCAAAGGTCTCAAAGCACTCCAAGTATCCACTTACAGATTCTACAAAAAGAGTGTTTAAATACTTCTCAAAAAAGGAAGGTTCAGCTCAGTGAGATGAATGCATACATCACAAAGGACATTCTCAGAATGCTTCTGTCTAGCTTTTATGTGAAGATATTTCCTTTTCCATCATAGGCATCAAAATGCTCCAAATATCCAATTGCAGATTCTACAAAAAGAGTGTGTTAAAACTGCTCAATCAAAAGAAAGTTTCAACACAGGGAGTTGAATGCACACATCACAAAGAAGTTACTCAGAATGCTTGTGTCTGATTTTTATGTGAAGATATTACCTTTTCCGCCAAAGGCCTCAAAGTGCTCCAAATATCCCCTTGCAGATTCTACAAAAAGAATGATTAAATACTTCTCAAAAAAGAAAGGTTCAACTCTGTGAGATGAATGCAGAAATCGAAGAGAATTCTCTCAGAATGCTTCTTTCTGGGTTTTATGTGAAGATATTTCCTTTTCCTCTATAGGCCTCAAAACGCTACAAATATCCAGTTTCTGATACTACAAAAAGAGTTTGTTAAAACTACTCAATCAAAAGAAAAGTTCAACACAGGGAGTTGAATGCGCACATCACAAAGAAGTTTCTCTGAATGCTTGTGTCTGATTTTTATGTGAAGATATTTCCTTTTCCACCATAGGCCTCAACGTTCTCTAATTATCCAGTTGCAGATTCTGAAAAAAGAGTGTTTCAAAACTGCTCAATCAAAAGAAAGTTTCAACTCTGTGAAATCAATGCACACATGACAAAGAAGTTCCTCAGAATGCTTCTGTCAAGTTTTTATGTGAATATATTTCCTTTATATTTATTTATGTATTTATTTATTTATTTATTTATTTTATTATTATTATACTTTAAGTTTTAGGGTACATGTGCACAATGTGCAGGTTAGTTACATATGTATACATGTACCACGCTGGTGTGCTGCACCCATTAACTCATCATTTAGCATTAGGTATATCTCCTAATGCTATCCCTGCCCTCTCACCCCACCCCACAACAGTCCCCAGAGTATGACGTTCCCCTTCCTGTGTCCATGTGTTCTCATTGTTCAATTCCCACTTATGAGTGAGAATATGCAGTGTTTGGTCTTTTGTTCTTGCGATAGTTTACCGAGAATGATGATTTCCACTTTCATCTATGTCCCTACAAAGGACATGAACTCATCATTTTTTATGGCTGCCTAGTATTCCATGGTGTATATGTGCCATATTTTCTTAATCAACTCTATCATTGTTGGACATTTGGTTTGGTTCCAACTCTTTGCTATTGTGACTAGTGCCGCAATAAGCATACGTGTGCATGTGTCTTTATAGAAGCATGATTTATAGTCCTTTGGGTATATACCCAGCAATGGGATGGCTGGGTCAAATGGTATTTATAGTTCTAGATCCCTGAGGAATCGCCACACTGACTTCCACAATGGTTGTACTAGTTTACAGTGCCACCCACTGTGTAAAAGTGTTCCTATTTCTCCACATCCTCTCCAGCACCTGTTGTTTCCTGACTTTTTAATGATTGCCATTCTAATTGGTGTGTGATGGTATCTCATTGTGGTTTTGATTTGCATTTCTCTGATGGCCAGTGATGGTGGGCATTTTTTCATTTGTTTTTTGGCTGCATAAACATATTCTTTTGAGAAGTGTATGTTCATGTCCTTAGCCCACTTTTTGAAGGGCTTGTTTGTTTGTTTGTTTGTTTTCCTTTTTAAACGTATGCCTCAAACCACTCCAAATATCCATTTGCAGTTACTACAGAAAGACTGTTTTCAAACTGCTCAATCAAAAGAAAGGTTCAACTCTGTGAAATGAATGCACACATCAGAAGGAAGTTTCTCAGAATGCTTCTGTCTAGTTCTTATCTGAAGATATTCCCTATTTCCCCAGAGGCCTCAGTAGGCTGAAAAATATCCCTCTACAGATTCTACAAAACTACTGTTTCCAAACTGCTCAATCAATACAAAGGTTCAAGTCTGTGAAATTAATGCGCACAAGACAAAGAAGTTTCTCAGAATGCTTCTGTATATTTTTAATGTGAAGATATTTCCTTTTTCACCATAGGTCTCAAAGCCCTCCAAATATCCACTTGCAGATTCTACAAAAAGACTGATTCCAAACTGCCCAATCAAAAGAAAGTTTCAACTCTGTGGGATGAAAGCAGATATCACAAATAATTTTCTCAGAAATTTTCTGTTTAGTTTTTATGTGAAGATATTTCCTATTACCCCATGAGCCTCAATGGGAAAAAAAATACCCCTTCACAGATTCTACAAAACGATGGGCTCCAAACTGCTCAATCAAAAGAAAGTTAAACCCTGTGAGATGAATGCACATATCACAAAGAAGTTTCTCAGAATGCTTCTGTGAAGTTTCCATGTGAAGATATTACCTTTTCCAATATAGGACACAAAACGCTCCAAATATCGACTTGCAGATTGTACAAAAAGAGTTTTTCAAAACTGCTCAATCAAAAGAAAGCTTCAACTCTGTGAGATGAGTGCACACATCACAAAGAAGTTTCTCAGAATGCTTCTGTCTAGTTTTTATTTGAAGATATGTCCTTTTCCACCATAGGCCTCAAAGCAAACAAAATATCTATTTGCAGATTCCAAAAAAGACTGTTTCCAAACTGCTCAATCAAAAGAAAAGTTCAACTCTGTGAGATGAATGCACACATCGCAAAGAAGTTTCTCAGAAAGTGTCTCTCTAGTTTTTATATGAAGATATTTCCTAACACCCCATAGGCATCAATGAGTTCACAAATATCCCTCTGTAGATTCTACAAAATGACAGTTGGTAAACTGCTCAATCAAAGGAATGGTTCAACTCTGTGAAATGAATGCACACAACACAAAGAAGTTTCTCAGAATGCTTCTCTTCTGTTTTAATGTGAAGATATTTCCTATTCCACCATAGGCCTCAAAGCGCTCCAAATATCCACTTGCAGATTCTACACAAAGAGTGTTTCAAAACTACTCAATCAAAAGAAAGTTTCAAATCTGTGAGATTAATGCACACATCACAAAGCAGTTTCTAGGAATCCTTCTGTCTGGTTTTTATGTGAGGATACTTCCTTTTTCACCACAGGCCTCAAAGAGCTCCAAAAATCCATTTGCAGATACTACAAAAAGATTGTTTCCAAACTGCTCAATAAAGTGAAAGGTTCAAATTTGAGAGATGAAACCACACACCACAAAGGTGTTTCTCAGAATTCTTCTTTGTGGTTTTTCTGTTAAGATATTTTCTTTTCCACCATAGGCCTCAAAGCGCAACAAATATCCACTTGCTGATTCTATAAAGAGTGTTTCAACACTGCTCAATCAAAACAAGAGTTCAACTCTGTGAGATGAATGCACACATCACAAAGAGGTTTCTGAGAATGCTTCTGTCTAGTTTTTATGTGAAGATATTTCCTTTTCCACCATAGGCCTCAAAGCTCTCCAAATATCCATTTGCAGATACTACAAAAAGACTGTTTCCAAACTGCTGAATCAAAAGAAAGGTTCAACTCCATGAGTTGAATACACACATCACAAAGAAGTTTCTCAGAAAGCTTCTGACTAGTTTTTATGTGAAGATGTTTTCTTTTCCACCATAGGCCTCAAAGTGCTAAAAATATCCACTTGAAGATTCTACAAAAAGAGAGTTTCAAAACTGCTCAAACAAAAGAAAGGTTCAACTCTGTGACATGAATGCACACATCACAAAGAAGTTTCTCAGAATGCTTCTGTCTAGTTTTATGTGAAGATATTTCCTTTTCTACTATAGGCTGCAAAGCACTCCAAAAATCAACTTGCAGATTCTGCAGAAAGAGTTTTTCAAAGCTGCTCAATCAAAAGAAAAGTTCAACTCTTTGAGATGAATGCCCGCACCATGAAGAAGTTCCTCAGAATGCTTCTGTTTATTTTTTATGTGAAGATATATCCTTTTCTACCAAAAACTGCAAAGTGCTCCAAATATCCCCTTGCAGTTTCTACTAAAAGAGTGTTTCCAAACTGCTAAATCAAAAGAAAGTTTCAACTCTGTGAGATGAATGCACACATCACTAAGAAGTTTCTCAGTAATTTTCTGTCTAGTTTTATGTGAAGATATTTCCTTTCCTACTATAGGCCTGAAAGTGCTCCAAATATCCATTTGCAGATACTGCAAAAAGACTGCTTCCAAACTGCTCAATCAAAGGAAAGGTCCAACTCTATGAGTTGAATGCACGCATCTCAAAGAGATTTCTCAGAGTGGTTCTGTCTAGTTTTTATGTGAAGATATTTGCTTTTCCACCAGTGGCCTCAAACTCTCCAAATATCCACTTGCAGATTGTACAATAAGAGTGTTTCAAAACTGCTCAATCAAAAGAAAGGTTTAACTCTGTGAGATGAATGCACACATCACAAACCACCTTCTCAGAATGCTTCTGTCTAGTTTTTATGTGAAGATATTTCGTTTTTCACCATAGGCCGCAAAGCGCTCCAAATATCCCCTTCAGATTCTACAGAAAGAATGTTTCAAAACTGTTCAATCAAAAGAAAAGTTCAACTCTGGTGATGAATGCCCGCATCACAGAGCAGTTTCTCATAATGTTTCTGTCTAGTTTTCATGTGTATATATTTCCTTTTCCACCACAGGCCCCAAAGCGCTCCAAATATCCGTTTGCAGGTACTACTAAAAGACTGTTTCCAAACTGCTCAATCAAAAGAAAAGTTTAAATATGTGAGTTGAATGAGCACATCACAAATAAGTTTCTCAGAATGCTTCTGTCTAGTTTTTATGTGAAGATATTTCCTTTTCCACCACAGGCCACAAAGCACTCCAAATATCCACTTGAAGATTCTACAAACAGAGTGCTTCAAAAATACTCAATCAAAAGAAAGGTTCAACTCTTTGAGATGGATGCACATATCACAAAGAAGCTTCTCAGAATTCTTCTGTCTACCTTTTATGTGAAGATATTTCCTTTTCCACCATAGGCCTCAAGTCTCTCCAAATATCTACTTTCAGAATCTCCAAAAAGAGCGTTTTAAAACTGCTGTATCAAAGAAAGTTTCACGTCTGTGATATGACTACACACAACAGAGAGAAGTTTCTCAGAGTGCTTCTGTGTATTTTTTATGTGAAGATATTTCCTTTTCCACTATCGGCCACAGAGTGCTCCAAATATCCACTTGCAGAACCTACAAAAAGAGTGTTGCAAACCTGCTCAATCAAAAGAAAGATTTAACTCTATGAGATGAATGGACACATCACAAAGAAGTTTCTCAGTATGCTTTTGTCTAGTTTTTATGTGAAGATGTTTCCTTTTCCAATCCATGATGTAAAGTGATCCAAATATCCACTGGTAGATATTACAAAAAGACAGCTTTCAAACTGCTCTATCAAAAGAAAGGTTCAAATCTGTGAGTTGAATGCACACATCACAAAGAATTTTCTCAGAATGCTTCTGTCTAGTTTTTATGTGAAGATATTTCCTTTTCCACCATAGGCCTCAAAGCGCTCAAAATGTCCATTTGCAGATACTACAGAAAGATGCTTTCCAAGCAGCTCAATCAGAGGAAATGTTCAGCTCTTTGAATTAAATGCACATCACAAAATAGTTTCCTG
>NT_187424.1:0-48496 GCF_000001405.40 Homo sapiens | reverse complement strand
AACTTTCAGCTCTGTGAGTTGAATGCGCACATCACAAAGAATTTTCTCAGAATGCTTCTTTCTAGTTTTCATATGACGATATTTCCTTTTCCACCACATGACTCAAATCGCTCCAAAAATACACAAGCAGATTCCATAAACAGAGTATTTCAAAACTGCTGAATCAAAAGAAAGTTTCAGCTCTGTGAGATGAATGCACACATCACAAAGAAGATTCTCAGAATGCTTCTGTCTAGTTTTCATGTGAAGATAATTCCTTTTCCACATTAGGCCTCAAATCTCTTCAAATATCCCTTGCAGATTCTACAAAAATAGTGTTTCAAAACTGCTCAATTGAAAGAAAGGTTGAAGTCTGTGAGATGAATGCACATCTCATAAAGAAGTTTCTCAAAGTGCTTCTGTCTAGTTTTTATTTGAAGATATATCCTTTTCCACAATAGGCCACAAAGCGCTCCAAATATCCACTTGCAGATTCTTCAAAAAGAGTGTTTCAAAACTGCTCAATCAAAACAAAGGTTCAACTGTGTTAGTTGAATGCACACATCACAAAGAAGCTTCTCAGAATGCTTCCGTCTAGTTTTTATGTGAAGATATTTCCTTTTCCTCCGTAGGCCCCAAAGCATTCCAAATATCCACTGGTAGATTCTACAAATGTGCGTTTCAAAACTACTCAATCAAAAGAAACGTTCAACTCAGTGAGATGAATGCACACATCACAAAGTTGTTTCTCAGAATGCTTCTGTCTAGTTTTCATGTGAAGATATTTTCTTTCATACCATAGGCCCCAATATCCACCTTCAGATTCTACAAAAAGTGTGTTTCAAAACTGCTTAATCAAAAGAAAAGTTCAAACCTGTGAGATGAATGCACACATCACAAAGCAGTTTCTCAGAATGCTTCTGTCTAGTTTTGATGTGAAGATATTTCCTTTAACACTGTAGAACTGGAAGCGCTGCAAATATCCACTTGCAGATTCTACAAAAAGAGTGTTTCAAAACTGCTGAATCAAAAGAAAAGTTCAACTCCTTGAGAAGAATGCACACATCACAAAGAAGTTTCGCAGAATATTTCTGTCTAGTTTTTATGTGAAGATATTTCCTTTTCCCCTCGAGGCTGGAAAGCACTTCAAATATCCAATTGCAGATTCTACAAAAGAGTGTTTCAAAACTGCTCAATCAAAGGAAAGGTCCAATTCGGTGAGCTGAATGTACACATCAGAAGGAAGTTTCTCAGAATACCTCTGTGCAGTTTTTATGTGAAGATATTTACTTTTCCACCATAATCCCCAAGGCTCTCCAAATATCCACTTGCAGATTCAACAAAAAGTGTGTTTCAAAACTGCTCAATCAAAAGAAAGGTTCAACTCTGTGAGAGGAATGCTCACATCACAAACAGGTTTCTCAGAATGCTTCTGTCTTGTTTCTGTGTGAAGATACTTCCTTTTCCACTAGAGAAAGCAAAGCGCTCCAAATATCCACGTGCAGATTTTACAAAAGGGTGTTTCTAAAGTGCTAAATCAAAAGAAAGTTTCAAGTCTGTGAGATGAATGCACATATCCCAAAGAAGTTTCTCAGAATGCTTCTGTCTAGTTTTCATTTGAAGATATAAAATTTTCCACTATAGGCCACAAAGCACTTCAAATATCCACTTGCATATTCTTCAAAAAGAGTGTTTCAAAACTGCTGAATCAAAATAAAGTTTCAACTCTGTGAGGTGATTGCACACATCATAAAGAAGTTTCTCAGAATGCTTCTGTGTAGCTTTTATGTGAAGGTATTTCCTTTTCCACCATAGGCCTTAAAGTGTTCCATATATCCACCTGCAGATTCTACAAAAAGAGTGTTTCAAAACTATTTAATCAAAAGAAAGGTTCAACCCAGTGAGGTGAATGTACTCGTCATGGAGAAGATTCCCAGAATGCTTCTGTCTAGTTTATATGTGAACATATTTCCTTTTCCACTATAGGAGGCAAAGCGTTCCAAATATCCAATTGCGGATTCCACAAAAAGTGTTTCAAAACTGCTCAATGAAAAGAAATGTTGAATTCTGTGAGATAAACGCACACATCATAAAGGAGTTTCTAAGAATGCTTCTGTCTGGTTTTTATGTGAAGATATTTCCTTTTCCACCATAGGCCCCAAAGCTCTCCAAATATCCACTTGCAGATTCTACAAAAAGCGGGATTCAAAACTGCTCAATCAAAAGAAAGTTTCAACTCTGTGAGTTGAAGGCACACATAACAAAGCCGTTTCTCAGAATGCTTCTCCATAGTTTTTATATGAAGATATTTACATTTCCATCATTCTCTTCAAAGCGCTCCAAATATCCACTTGCAGATTCTATAAAAAGAGTGTTTCAAAACTGCTGAATGAAAAGAAAGTTTCAACTCTGTGAGATGAATGGACACATCATAAAGACATTTCTCAGAATGCTTCTGTCTAGTGTTTATGTGAAGATATTTCCTTTTCCACCACACGCCTCAAAGCGCTCTAAATATGCACTTGCAGATTCTACGAAGAGTGTTTCAAAACTGCTCAATCAAAAGAAAGGTTCAACTACTGTGAGATGTATGCACACATCACAAAGAAGTTTCTCAGAATGCTTCTGTCTAGTTGTTACGTGAAGATATTTGCTTTTCCACCACAGGCCGCAAAGCACACCAAATATCCACTTGCAGATTTAAAAAAAAATAGTGTTTCAAAACTGCTCAATCAAAGGAAAAGTTAAACTCTGTGAGTTGAATGAACACTTCACAAAGAAGTTTCCCAGAACGAGTCTGTGTAGCTTTTATGCAAAGTTATTTCCTTTTCCACAATACTCCACAAAGTCCTCCGAGTATCTACTTGCAGATTCTAAAAAAAGAGAGTTTCAAAACTGCACAATCAAAAGAATGATTCAACTCTGTGATTAGAATGCACATATCACAAAGTCTTTTCTCAGAATGCTTTTCCATAGTTTTTATATGAAGATATTTTCATTTCCACCATTCTCTCCAAAGCGTTCCAAATATCCACTTGTAGATTCTACAAAAAGAGCGTTTCAAAATTGATCAATCGAATTAAAGCTTCATCTCTTTGACATGAATGCACACAACAAAAAGAAGTTTCTCAGAATGCTTCTGTGTAGTTTTTATGTGAAGGTATTTCCTTTTACACCATAGGCCACAAAGGGCTCCAAATATTAACTTGCAGATTCTACATAAAGAGAGTTTCAAAACTCCTCTATCAAAAGATAGGTACAACTCTGAGTTCAATGCACACATCTCAATGAAGTTCCTCAGAATGCTTCTGTTTAGTTTTTATGTGAAGATATTTCCATTTCTATAATAGGCCTCAAAGCGCTCCAAGTATCCACTTGTATATTTTACTAAAAGAGTGTTCCCAAACTGCTCAATCAAAAGAAAGTTACAACTCTGGGAGATGAATGCACATATTACACAGAAGTTTCTCAGAATGCTTCTGTGTAGTTTTTATGTGAAGATATATCCTTTTCCACAATGGGCCTCAAAGAGCTCTGTGACATGAATGCACACGTAAAAAAACATTTCTCAGAATGCTTCTGTGTAGTTTTTATGTGAAGATATGTCCTTTTCCACCATAGGCCACAAAGGGCTCCAAATATCCACTTGCAGATTCTACAAAAAGAGAGTTTCAAAATTGCTCTATCAAAAGATAGGTTCAACTCTGTTAGCTGAATGCACTCATCACAAACAAGTTTCTTGGAATGCTTCTGTGTAGTTTTTATGTGAGGATATTTCCTTTTCCACAATAGGCCTCTAAGCACTACAAATATCCACTTGAAGATTCTTCAAATAGTGGTTTTCAAAACTGCTCAATGAAAAGAAATGTTCACCACAGTGTGTTGAACGAACATTTCACAAAGAAGTTTTTCAGAATACTTCTGTGTAGCTTTATGTGAAGATATTTCCTTTTCCACCATAGGCCTCAATGCCCTCCAAATATCTAGTTGCAGATTCTACAAAAAGTGTGTTTCAAAATTGCTCAATCAAAAGAAAGTTGAACTATGTGAGATGAATGCACACCTTGCAAAGAAGTTTCTCAGAATGCATCTGTGTTGTTTTTATGTAAAGATATTTTCTTTTCCACAGTAGGTCTCAAGGGGCTCCAAATATCCACTTGCAGATTCTACAAAAAGACTGTTTCAAAAGCGCTCAGTGAAAAGAAAGGTTTAACTCTCTGAGATGAATCCACACATGACAATGAAGTTTCTCAGAATGCTTCTGTGTAGTTTTTATGTGAAGTTATTTCCTTTTCCACCAGAGGCCACAAAGAGTTCCAAATATCCACTTGCAGATTATACAAAAAGAGAATTTGAAAACTGTGCAATCAGAAGATAGGTTCAAATCTGTGATTTGAATGCACACATCAGAAAGGAGTTTCTCAGAATGCTTCTGTGTAGATTTTATGTGAAGATATATCCTTTTCCACCATAGGCCTCAATGCACTCAAAATATCCACTTAGAGATACTACAAAAACAGTGTTTGAAAACTGCTCAATCAAAAGAAAAGTTCAACTCTGTGAGATGAACGCACACATCACAAAGAAATTTGTCAGAATGTTTCTGTGTTGTTTTCATGTGAAGATATTTCCTTTTCCACAATAGGCCTCAAAGTGCTCCAAATATCCACTTGCAGATTCTACAAAAATAGTGTTTCAAAACAGCTCAATCAAAAGAAATGTTGAACTCTGTGAGATGAATGCACACATCACCAAGAAGTTTTTTCAGAATGCTTCTGTGAAGTTTTTATGTGAAGATATTTCTTTTTCCACCACAGGCAGCAAGGGGCTCTAAATATCCACTTGCAGATTCTACAAAAAGAGATTTTCAAAGCTCCTCGATAAAAAGATAAGTTCAACTCTGTGAGTAGAATGCTCACATCACAAAGAAGTTTCTTTGAATGCTTCTGTGTAGTTTTTATGTGAAGACATTTCCTTTTACACCATAGGCCTCAAAGCGCTCCAAATATACACCTGCAGATTCCAAAAAAAGAGAGTTTCAAAACTGCTTACCAAAAGATAGGTTCAACTCCGTGAGTTGAATGCACACATCACAAATAAGTTTCTCAGAATCCTTCTGTGTATTTTTTATGGGAAGATATTTCCTCTTCCTCAATATGCCTCCTAACACTGCAAATATCCACTTCCAGATCACACTAAAAGAGTATTTCCAAACTGCATAGTCAAAAGAAAGGTGAAATGAATGCACACATCGCAAAAAGTATCTCAGACTCCTTCTGTGTAGTTTATATGTGAAGATATTTTCTTTTTTACAATAGGCCTCAAAGCTCTCCAAAGATCCACTTGCAGATTCTACAAAAGAGTGTTTCAAAACTGCTCAATCAAAATAAAAGTTCAACCCTGTCAGATGAATGCACACATCACAAGGTAGTTTGTCAGAATGCTTCTGTGTAGTTTTTATGTGAAGATATTTCCTTTTCCACCTTAGGCCGCAAAAGGCTCCACATATCCAATTGCAGTTTCTACAAAAAGAATGTTTCCAAACTGGTCAATCAAAAGAAAAGTTCAACTCTGTGAGTTGAATGCACACATCACAAAGAAGTTTCTCAGAATGTTTCTGTGTAGTTTTTTTGTGAAGATATTTCCTTTTCCACAATAGGCCTCAAAGCGCTCCAAATATCCACTTGCAGATTCTTCAAAAATAGTGTTTCAAAACTGCTTAATGAAAAGAAAAGTTCAACTCTGTGAGAAGAACGCACACATCCCAAAGAAGTTTCTCAGAATTCTTCTGTGTAGTTTTTATGTGTTGGTATTTCATTTTACAACATAGGCCACAAAGGGCTTGAAATATTCTCTTGCAGATTCTACAAAAAGAGAGACCCAAAACTTCTCAATTAAAAGATATTTTCAACCTTTTGAAAAGAATGCACACATCACAAAGAAGTTTCTCAGAATGATTCTGTGTAGTTTTTTAATGAAGATATTTCCTTTTCCACCATAGGATGCAAACGGCTTCAAATACCCACTTCCAGATTCTACGACAAGAGAGTTTCAAAACTGCTAAATGAAAACATAGGTTTAACTCTGTCAGTTGAATGCACACATCACAAAGAAGTTTCTCATAATTCTTCTGTGAAGTTTTTATGTGAAGATATTTCCATTTCCACAATAGACCTCAAATCTTTCCAAATATCTACTTGCTGATTCTACAAAAAGAGGGTTTCAAAACTGCACAATCATAAGAAATGTTCAACTCTGTGAGATGGGTGCACACAACACAAAGAAGTTTCTCAGAATGCTTCTGTGTAGTTTTTACGTGAAGATAATTCCTTTTCCACTGGAGGCCTCAAATCTCTCTAAATATCCACTTGAAGATTCTACAAAAAGTGTTTTTCGAAACTGCTCAATCAAAAGAAATGTTCAACTCTTTGCGATGAATGCACACATCACAAAGAAGTTTCTCAGAATGCTTCTGTGCAGTTTTTATGTGAACATATTTCCTTTTCCACCGTAGGCCACAATCGGCTCCACATACCCACTTCCAGATTCTACAAAAAGAGAGTTTCAAAACTGCTCAATCAAAAGATCAGTTCAATTCTGTGAGTTGAATGCAGACATCACAAAGAAGTTTCTCAGAATGCCTCTGTGTAGTTTTTATGTGAAGATATTTCCTTTTCTACAATAGGCCTCAATGCGCTCCAAATATCCACTTGCATATTCTACAAAAGGAGGTTTCAAAACTACTCAAACAAAAGAAAGGTTCAACTCTGTGAGATGAATGCAAACATCACAGAGAAGTTTCTCAGAATGCTTCTGTGTAGTTTTTATGTGAAGGTATTTCCTGTTTCACCATATGCCGCAAAGGGCTCCAAATATCCACTTGCATATTCTACAAATGGAGTGTTTCGAAACTTCTCAATCAAAACAAAAGTTCAACTCTGTGAGATGAATGCACACATCACAAAGAAGTTTCTCATAATGTTTCTGTGTAGTTTCTATCTGAAGATATTTCCTTTTCCCATATATGCCACAAAGGGCTCCAAATATCCAGTTGCAGATTCTACAAAAACAGTGTTTCAAAACTGCACAATCAAAAGAAATATTCATCTCTGTGAGATGAATGCACACATCACAAAGAAGTTTCTCAGAATGCTTCTGTGAAGTATTTTTTTTTGTGAAGATATTCCCTTTTCTACAATAGGGTTGAAATCGTCCAAGTTTCCACTTGCAGATTCTACAAAGAGAGTGTTTCAAAACTGCTCAATCATAAGATAGGTTCCAATCTATGAGATGAATGCAACATCACAAAGAAGTTTCTCAGAATGCTTCTATGTAGTATTTATTTCAGGATATTTCCTTTTCCTCCATAGGCTGCAAAGGGCTTCAAATATCCACTTGCAGATTCTACAAAAAGTGTGTTTCAAAAGTTCTCAATCAAAAGAAACTTTCAACTCTGTGGGATGAATGCACACATCACAGAGATATTTCTCAGAATGCTTCTGTGTGGTTTTTACGTGAAGATATTGGCTTTTCCACAGTAGGCCTCAAAGCATTCCAAATATCCACTTGCAGATTCTATAAAAACAGTGTTTCAAAACTGCTCAATCAAAAGAAACGTACAACTCTGTTAGATGAATACGCACATCACAAAGTAGTTTCTCAGAATAATTCTTTGTAGGTTTTATGTGAAGATATTTCCTTTTATGCAATAGGCCACAAAGCGCTCCAAATATCCACCTGAAGATTCTGCAAAGAGAGTGTTTCAAAGCTGCTCAGTCATGAGATAGGTTCATCTCTGTGAGATGAATGCACACATCACAAAGAAGTTTCTCAGAATGCTTCTGTGTAGTTTTTATTTGAAGATATTTCCTTTGCCTCCATGGACCACAAAGGACTCTGAATATCCACTTGCAAATCCTACAAAAAGAGAAATCCATAACTGCTCAATCGAAATATAGGTTCAAGTCTGTGAGTTGAATGAACACATCACAAAGAAGTTTCTCAGAATGTTTCTGTGTAGTTTTTATGTGAAGATATTTCCTTTTCCAAAATAGGCCTCAAAGTCCACCAAATATCCACTGCAGATTCTACAAAAACAGTATTTAAAAACTGCTCAATCAAAAGACAGATTAGACTCTGTGAGTTTAATGCACACATCACAAATAACTTTCTCAGAATGCTTTTGTGTAGTTTTTATGTGAACATACTTCCTTTTCCACAATATGCCTCAAATCGTTCCAAGGATCCACTTGTAGATTCTACAAAGAGAGTGTTTGAAAACTGCTAAACCATAACATAGATTCAACTCTGTGAGATGAATGCACACATAAAAAGTAGTTTCTCAGAATGATTCTGTGTAGGTTTTATGTGAAGATATTTCCTTTTCCACTATAGGCCTCAAAATGCTCAAAATATCCACTTGCAGATACTACAGAAAGAGTGTTTCAAAACTACTCAATCAAAATAATGTTTCAACTGTGTGAGATGAATGCACACATCACAAAATTTTCTCAGAATGCTTCTGTGTAGTTTTTATGTGAAGATAACTGCTTTTACAGAGTAGACCTCAAATCTCTCCAAATATCCACTTGCAGATTCTACAAATCTGTGTTTCAAAACTTCTTAATGAAAAGAAAGGTTCAACTATGTGAGATGAGTGCACACATCAAAAATAAGTTTCTCAGAATTCTTCTCTGTAGTTTTTATATGAAGATATTGCCTTTTCCACAATAGGATTCAGTGCACACCAAATATCCACTTGCAGAATCTACAAAAGGAGTGTTTCAAAACTCCTCCATCAAAAAAAGGTTCAACTCTGTGAGATGAATGCACACATCACAAAGAAGTTTCTCAGAATGCTTCTGTGTAGTTTTTATGTGAAGATATTTCCTTTTCCACTATAGTCCTCAAAGTGTTCAAAATATCCACTTGCAGATTCTACAGAGAGTTTCAAAACTGCTCAATCAAAAGAAAGGTTCAACTCTGTGAGATGAATGCACACATCACAAAGATGTTACTCAGAATGCCTCTACATAGTTTTTGTGTGAACATATTTACTTTTCCACAATAGGCATCAAAGTGCTCAAAATATCCTCTTGCAGATTTTACAAAAACCGTGTTTCAAAACTGCTCTACCAAAAGAAAGGTTCAACTCTGTGAGATGAATGCACACATCACAAAGAAGATTCTCAGAATGCTTCTGTGCACTTTTTATGTGAAGATATTTCTTTTCCACAACAGGCCTCAAAGCGCTTCAAATATCAACTGGAAGATTATACAAAGAGAGTGTTTCAAAACTGCTCAATCATAAGATAGGTTCATCTCTGTTCGGTGAATTTACACATCAAATGAAGTTACTCAGAATGCCTCTTTATAGTTTTTATGTGAACATATTTTCTTGTCCACAATAGGCCTCAAAGAGCTCAAAATATCCTCTTGCAGATTTTTCAAAAACAGTGTTTCAAAACTGCTCTACCGAAAGAAAGGTTCAACACTGTGAGATGAATGCACACATCACAAAGAAGATTCTCAGAATGCCTCCGTGTAGTTTTTATTTCAAGATATTTCCTTTTCCTCCATAGGCTGAAAAGGGCTCCAAATATCTACTTGCAGATTATACAAAAAGAGAGATTCAAAACTACTGAATCAAAAATAGGTTTACCTCTGTGTTATGAATGCACTCATCACAATGAAGTTTCTCAGAATGATTCTGTGTAGTTTTTATATGAAGATAGTTCATTTTATTCAATAGACCTCAAAGCACTCCAAATATCCACTTGCATTTTCTACAAAAAGAGTGTCTCAAAACTGCTCAATGATAAGATAGGTTCAACTCTGTGACAAGAATGCACACATCACAAAGAATTTTCTCAGAATCCTTCTGTGTAGTTTTTATGTGTAGATATTTACTTTTACACCGTAGACTTCAAAACGCTCCAAATATCCACTTGCAGATTCTACAAAAAGAGTGATCCCAAACTGATCAAACAAAAGAAATGTTCAACTCTGTCAGATGAATGCACACATCGCAAAGAACTTCCTCAGAATGCTTCTGTGTAATTTTTCTGTGAAGATATTTCCTTTTCCACAATAGGCCTCAAAGCGCTCCAAATATCCACTTGCAGACTCTACAAAAAGAATGTGAAAACTGCTCAATCAACAGAAAGGTTCAACTCTGTGAGGTGAATGCATACATGACAAAGAAGTTTCTCAGAATGTTTCTGTGTAGTTTTTTTGTGATGATATTTCCTTTTCCACAATAGGCACCAAAGCTCTCCAGATATCCACTTTCAGATTCTACAAACAGAGGGTTTCAAAACTGCTCAATCAAAAGATAGGTTCAAGTGTGAGAGATGAATGCACACAACAACAAGAAGTTTCTCAGAATATTTCTCTGTAGTTTTCATTTGAAGATATCTCCTTTTCCACCATTGGCTGCAAAGGGCTCCAAATTTCCACTTGCAGATTCTACAAAAAGAGAGATTCAAAACTGATCAATCAAAGGTAGCTTCAACTCTGTGAGTTTAATGCACACATCACAGAAAAGTTTCTCAGAATGCTTCTGTGTAGTTTTTATGTAAAGATGTTTCCTTTTGCACCATATGCCACAAAGGCCTCAAAATACCCATTCCAGATTCTTCAAAAAGAGAGTTGCAAAACAGCCCAATCAAAAGATAGGTTCAACTCCGTGAGATGAATGCACACATCACAAAAACTTTCTCAGAATGCTTCTGTGCAGTTTTTATATGATGATATTTCTTTTTCCACCACAGGCCGCACAGGGCTCCAAATATACACTTGCAGATTCCACAGAGAGACTCAAAACTGCTCAATCAAAAGATAGATTCAACCCTGTGAGTTGAATGCACAGATCACAGAGAAATTTCTCAGAATGCTTCTGTGTAGTTTTTATGTAAAGATATTTCCTTTTCCACTGGAGGGCTCAAAGCGCTACAAATATCAACTTGCACATTCTGCAAAAAGAGTGTTTCCAAACTGCTCAATCAAAAGAAACGTTCAACACTCTGAGATGAATGCACACATCACAAAGAAGTTTCTCAAAATTCTTCTGTGTAGTTTTTATGTGAAGATATTTCCTTTTCCTTATTAGGCCGCAAAGGGCTCCCAATATCTACTTGCAGATTATTGAAAAATAATCTCAATCAAAAAATAGGTTCAATTCTGTGAGTAGAATGAATACATCACAGAGAAGTTTCTCAGAATGCTTCTGTGTACTTTTTATGAGAAGATATTTCCTTTTCTACCATAGGCCACAAAATGCTCCAAATATACCCTGGCGGATTACAGAAAAAGAGAGTTTCAAACTGCTCAATCAAAAGAAAGGTGCAAATCTGTGAGATGAATGCTCACATTACAAAGAAGTTTGTCACAATAGTTTTGTGTAGTTTTTATGTGAAGGTATTTCCTTTTCCACCATAGTCCTCAAAGTGCTCCAAATATTAAATTGCAAATTCTACAAAAAGAGTGTTTCCAAACTGCTCAAACTAAAGAAAGGTTCAACTCTGTCAGATGAATGCACACATCGCATAGAAGTTTCTCAGAATGTTTCTGTATAGTTTTTATGTGAAGATATTTCATTTTCCACAATAGGCCTTAAAGCGCTCCAAATATCCAACTGCAGATTCTACAAAAAAAGTGTCACAAAACTGCTGAATCAACAGAAAATTTCAAATCTGTGAGATGAATGCACATGTCACAAAGAAATTTCTCAGAATGTTTCTGTGTAGTTTTAAAGTGAAGATTTTTCCTTTTACACCAGAGGCCGCAAATGGCTCCAAATATGCACTTGCAGGTTCTACAAAAAGAGTTTCAAAACTTCTTAATCAAACGATAGGTTCAACTCTGGGAGGTGAATCCACACGTCACAAAGAAGTTTCTCAGAATACCTCTGTGTATTTTTCATGTGATGACACTTTCTTTACCACCATACGACTCAAAACCCTCCAAATGTCCACGTACAGATTCTACAAAAGGAGTGTTTCCAAACTGCACAATCAAAAGAAAAGTTAAACTCTGTGAGATAAATGCACACATCACAAAGAAGTTTCTCAGGATGCTTCTGTGTAGTTTTTATGTGAGGATATTTCCTTTTACACCATAGGCTGCAAAGGGTTCCCAATATCCTCTTGCAGATTCTACAAAAAGAGAGTTTCAAAACTGCTGTATCAAAAGATAGGTTCAACTATGTGACTTGAATACAAACATAACAAAGAAGTTTCTCAGAATGCTTCTGTGAAGTTTTTACGTGAAGATATTTCCTTTTCCATCATAGGCCACATAGCGCTCCAAATATCCATTTGCGGATTCTAGAAAAACAGTGTTTCCAAGCTGCACAATCAAAAGAAATGTTCAACTCCTTGAGATTAATGCACACATCACAAAGAAGTTTCTCAGAATGCTTCTGAGTAGTTTTTATGTGACGATATTTTCTTTTCCACAATAGGCCTCAAAGAACTCCAAATATCCACTTGCAGATTCTACAAAACAGAGTTTCAAAACTAGTCAATCAAAAGATAGGTTTAGCTGTGTGAGTTGAATGCACACATCACAAAGAAGTTTCTCAGAATGCTTTTGTGTAGTTTTTATGTAAAGATATTTTCTTTTCCGCCATAGGCCTCAAATCCCTCCAAATAGTCACTTGCAGATTCCATAAAAAGAGTGTTTCTAAACTGTCCAAACAAAAGAAAGGTTGAAGTCAGTCAGATGAATTCACAAATCGCAAAGAAGTTTCTCAGAATGATTCTGAGTAGTTTTTACGTGAAGATATTAACTTTTCCACAGTAGGCCTCAAAGCCCTCCAAATATCCACATGATCATTCTACACAAAGGGTATTTCATAACTGCTTAATCAAAAGAAAGTTTCTACTCTGTGAGATGAATGTACACATCACAAAGAAGTTTCTCAGAATGCTTCTGTGTAGTTTTTATCTGAAGATATTTCCTTTTCCACCATAGGCCATAAAGGGCTCAAAATATCCACTTGCAGATTGCACAAAAAGACAATTTCAAAGCTGCTCAATCCAAAGATATGTTCAAATCTGTGAGTTGAATGCACACATCACAAATAAGTTACTCAGAATCCTTCTTTGTAGTTTTTATGTGAAGATATTTCCTTTTCCACCGTACGCCTCAAAACCCTCCAAATATCCACTTTCACATTCCACAAAAAGAGCGTTTCAAAACTGCTCAATCAAAAGAAAAATTCAACTCTGTGAGATGAATGCACACATCACAAAGCAGTTTTTCAGAATGCTCCTGTGTAGTGTTTATCTGAAGATATTTCCTTTTCCACCATAAGCCTCAAAGGGCTCCAAATATTCACTTGCAGATTCTACAAAAAGGGTGTTTCCAAACTGCTCAAAGAAAGTTTCAACTCTGTCAGATGAATGCACACATCGCAAAGAAGCTTCTCAGAATGCTTCTGTGTAATTTTTATGTGAAGATATTTCCTTTTCCACAATAGTCCCCAAAGCGTTCCAAATATCCACTTGCAGATTCTACAAAAAAAAGTTTCCAAACTGCTCAATCAAAAGAAATGTTCAAGTCTGTGAGATGAATGCACCCTTCACAGAGAAGTTTCTCAGAATGCTTCTGTGTAGTTTTTTTGTGAAGATATTTCCTTTTACACCATAGGTCCAAAGGGCTCCATATATCCACTTGCAGATTCTACGAAAAGACAGTTTCAAAATTGCTCTCTAAAAAGACAGGTTCAACTCTGTGAGTTGAATACACAATAACAAAAATGTTTCACAGAATGCTTCTGTGAAGTTTTTATGTGACGATATTTCGTTTTCCACAATAGGCCACATAACACTCCAAGTATCCACTTGCAGATTCCACAAAAACAGTGTTTCAAGCTGCACAATCAAAAGAAATATTCAACTCTGTGAGATGAATGCACACATCACCAAGAAATTTCTCAGAACGCTTCTGTGTAGATTTTATGTGAAGATGTTTCCTTTTGTACTATAGGCCTCAAAGGGCTCCATATATCTACTTCCAGATTCTACAAAAATATATTTTTAAAACTGTTCAATCAAAAGATATGTTCAACTCTGAGAGTTGCATGCATTCATCGCAAAGAAGTTTCTCAGAGTACTGCGGTGTAGTTTTTTTTTAATTTATTTTATTTTATTATTATTATACTTTAAGTTTTAGGGTACACGTGCACATTGTGCAGGTTAGTTACATATGTGTACATGTGCCATATTGGTGTGCTGCACACATTAACTCGTCATTTAGCATTAGGTATATCTCCTAATGCTATCCGTCCCCCCTCCCCCCACCCCACATCAGAGTGTGATGTTCCCCTTCCTGTGTCCATGTGTTCCCATCGCTCAATTCCCACCTATGAGTGAGAGCATGCAGTGTTTGGTTTTTTGTCCTTGCGATAGTTTACTGAGAATGATGATTTCCAATTTCATCCATGTTCCTACAAAGGACATGAACTCATCGTTTTTATATGGCTCCATAGTATTCCATGGTGTATATGTGCCACATTTTCTTAATCCACTCTGTTATTCTTGGACATTTGGGTTGGTTCCAAGTCTTTGCTATTGCGAATAGTGCTGCAATAAACATACGTGTGCATGTGTCTTTAAAGCAGCATGATTTATAGTCCTTGGGTATATACCCAGTAATGGGATGTCTGGCTCAAATTGTATTTCTAGCTCTACATCCCTGAGGAATCGCCACACTGACTTCCACAATGGCTGAATTAATTTACAGCCCCACCAACAGTGTAAAAGTGTTTCTATTTCTCCATATCCTCTCCAACACCTGTTGTTTCCTGACTTTTTAATGATTGCCATTCTAACTGGTGTGAGGTGGTATCTCATTGTGGTTTTCATTTGCAATTCTCTGGTGGCCAGTTAAGGATGAGCATATTTTCATGTGTTTTTGGCTGTATAAATGTCTTCTTTGGGAAGTGTCTGTTCATGTCCTTCACCCACTTTTTGAAAGGGTTGTTTGTTTTTTCTTGTAAATTTGTTTGAGTTCATTGTAGATTCTTGATATTAGCCCTTTGTCAGATAAGTAGGTTGTGAAAACTATCTCCCATTTTGTATATTGCCTGTTCACTCTGCTGGTAGTTTCTTTTGCTGTGCAGAAACTCTTTAGTTTAATTAGATCCCATTTGTCAATTATGGCTTTTGTTGCCATTGCTTTTGGTGTTTTAGACATGAAGTCCTTGCCCATGCCTATGTCCTGAATGGTAATGCCTGGGTTTTCTTCTAGGATTTTTATGGTTTTAGGTCTAACGTTTAACTTTTTAATCCATCTTAAATTAATTTTTATATAAGGTGTAAGGAAGGGATCCAGTTTCAGCTTTCTACATATGGCTAGCCAGTTTTCCTAGCACCACTTACTAAATAGGGAATCCTTTCCCCATTACTTGTTTTGTTCAGGTTTATCAAAGATCAGATAGTTGTAGATATGCACTGTTATTTCTGAGGGCTCCGTTCTGTTCCATTGATCTATATCTCTGTTTTAGTACCAGTACCATGCTGTCTTGGTTACTGTAGCCTTGTAGTATAGTTCGAAGTCAGGGAGCCTGATGCTTCCAGCTTTGTTCTTGTGGCTTAGGATTGACTTGTTGATGTGGGCTCTTTTTGGTTCCATATGAACTTTAAAGTAGTTTTTTCCAATTCTGGGAAGAAGGTCATTGGTAGCTTGATGGGGATGACATTGAATCTATAAATTACCTTGGGCAGTATGGTCATTTTCATGATATTGATTCTTCCTACCCATGAGCATGGAATGTTCTTCCATTTCTTTATATCCTCTTTTATTTCATTGAGCAGTGGTTTGTAGTTCTCCTTGAAGAGGTCCTTCACGTCCCTTGTAAGTTGGATTCCTACATATTTTATTGTCTTTGAAGCAATTGCGAATGGGAGTTCACTCATGATTTAGCTCTGTTTGTCTGTTATTGGTGTATAAGAATGCTTGTGATTTTTGTACATTGTTTTGTATCCTGAGACTTTGCTGAAGTTGCTTATCAGCTTAAGGAGATTTTGGGCTGAGACGATGGGGTTTTCTAGATATACAATCATGTCATCTGCAAACAAGCACAATTTGACTTCCTCTTTTCCTAATTGAATACCCTTTGTTTCCTTCTCCTGCCTAATGGCCCTGGCCAGAATTCCCAACACTATGTTGAATAAGAGTGGTGAGAGAGGGCATCCCTGTCTTGTGCCAGTTTTCAAAGGGAATGCTTCCAGTTTTTGCCCATTCAGTATGATATTGGCTGTGGGTTTGTCATAGCTAGCTCTTATTATTTTGAGATATGTCCCATCAATACCTAATTTATTGAGAGGTTTTAGCATGAAGCGTTGTTGAATTTTGTCAAAGGCCTTTTCTGCATCTATTGAGATAATCATGTGTTTTTTCTCTTTGATTCTGTTTATATGCTGGATTACATTTATTGATTTGCGTATATTGAACCAGCCTTGCATCTTAGGGATGAAGCCCACTTGATCATATTGGATAAGCTTTTTGATGTGCTTCTGGAATCGGTTCGCCAGTATTTTATTGAGGATTTTTGCATCAGTGTTCATCAAGGATATTGGTCTAAAATTTTGTTTTTTGGTTGTGTCTCTGCCCGTCTTTGGTATCAGGATGATGCTGGCCTCATAAAATGAATTAGGGAGGATTCCCTCTTTTTCTATTGATTGGAATCTTTTCAGAAGGAATGGTACCAGTTCCTCCTTGTACCTCTGGTAGAATTCGGCTGTAAATCCATCTGGTCCTGGACTCTTTTTGGTTCGTAAGCTATTGATTATTGCCACAATTTCAGAGCCTCTTATTGGTCTATTCAGAGATTCAACTTCTTCCTGGTTTAGTCTTGGGAGGGTGTGTGTGTCAAGGAATTTATCCATTCCTTCTAGATTTTGTAGTTTGTTTGTGTAGAGGTGTATGTAGTATTCTCTGATGGTAGTTCGTATTTCTGTGGGATCAATGGTGATACTCACTTTATCATTTTTTATTGCGTCTATTTGATTCTTCTCTCTTTTCTTCTTTATTAGTCTTGCTAGCAGTCTATCAATTTTGTTGATCTTTTCAAAAAACAAGCTCCTGGATTCATTAATTTTTGAAGGTTTTTTTGTGTCTCTATTTCCTTCAGTTCTGCTCTGATTTTAGTTATTTCTTGCCTTCTGCTAGCTTTTGAATACGTTTGTCTTGCTTTTCTGGTTCGTTTAATTGTGATGTTAGGATGTCAATTTTGGATCTTTCCTGCTTTCTCTTGTGGGCATTTAGTGCTATAAATTTCCCTCTACACACTGCTTTGAATGTGTCCCAGAGATTCTGGTATGTTGTGTCTTTGTTCTCGTTGGTTTCAAAGATCATCTTTATTTCTGCCTTCACTTTGTTATGTACCCAGTAGTCATTCAGGAGTAGGTTGTTCAGTTTCCATGTAGTTGAGCAGTTTTGAGTGAGTTTCTTAATCCTTAGTTCTAGTTTGATTGCACTGTGGTCTGAGAGACAGTTTGTTATAATTTCTGTTCTTTTATATTTGCTGAGGATAGCTTTAGTTCCAACTATGTGGTCAATTTTGGAATAGGTGTGCTGTGGTGCTGAAAAAAATGTATATTCTTTCGATTTGGGGTGGAGAGTTCTGTTGATGTCTGTTAGGTCTGTTTGGTGCAGAGCTGAGTTCAATTCCTGGGTATCCTTGTTAACTTTTTATCTCGTTGATCTGTCTAATATTGACAGTGGGGTGTTGAAGTCTCCAATTATTATTGTGTGGGAGTCTAAGTCTCTTTGTACATCACTCAGGACTTGCTTTAAGAATCTGAGTGCTCCTGTATTGGGTGCATATGTACTTAGGATAGTTAGCTCTTCTTGTTGAATTGATCCCTTTACCATTATGTAATGGCCTTCTTTGTCTCTTTTGATCTTTGTTGGTTTAAAGTCTGTTTTATCAGTGACTAGTATTGCAACCCCTGCCTTTTTTTGCTTTCCATTTACTTGGTAGATCTTCCACCATCCTTTCATTTTGAGCCTATGTGTATCTCTGCATGTGAGATGGGTTTCCTGAATACAGCACACTGATGGGTCTTGACTCTTTATCCAAATTGCCAGTCTGTGTCTTTAAATGGAACATTTAGTCCATTTACATTTAGAGTTAATATTGTTATGTGTGAATTTGATCCTGTCGTTATGATGTTTGCTGGTTATTTTGCTCGTTAGTTGATGCAGTTTCTTACTAGCCACAGTGGACTTTACAATTTGGCATGATTTTGCAGTGGCTGGTACTGGTTGTTTCTTTCGATGTTTAGTGCTTCCTTCAGGAGCTCTTTTAGGGCAGGCCTGGTGGTGACAAAATCTCTCAGCATTTGATTGTCTGTAAAGTATTTTATTTCTCCTTCACTTATGAAGCTTAGTTTGGCTGGATATGAAATTCTGGTTTGAAAATTCTTTTCTTTCAAAATGTTGAATATTGGCCCACACTCTCTTCCGGCTTGTAGAGTTTCTGCCAAGAGATCTGCTGTTAGTCTGATGGGCTTCCCTTTGAGGGTAACTCCACCTTTCTCTCTGGCTGCCCTTAACATTTTTTCCTTCATTTCAACTTTGGTGAATCTGACAATTATGTGTCTTGGAGTTGCTCTTCTCGAGGAGTATCTTTGTGGCATTCTGTGTATTTTCTGAATCTGAATGTTGGCCTGCCTTGCTAGATTGGGGAAGTTCTCCTGGATAATATCCTGCAGAGTGTTTTCCAACTTGGTTCCATTCTCCGCATCACTTTCAGGTACACCAATCAGACATAGATATGGTCTTTTTACATAGTCCCATATTTCTTGGAGTCTTTCTTCATTTCTTTTTATTTTTTCTCTAAACTTCCCTTCTCACTTTATTTCATTCATTTCATCTTCCATCACTGATACATTTTCTTCCAGTTGATCGCATCAGCTCCTGAGGCTTCTGCATTCTTCACGTAGTTCTGGAGCCTTGGCTTTCAGCTCCATCAGCTCCTTTAAGCACTTCTCTATGTTGGTTATTCTAGCTATACATTCGTGTAAATTTTTAAAAAGTTTTTAACTTCTTTACCTTTGGTTTGAATTTCCTCCTATAACTCGGAGTAATTTGATTTTCTGAAGCCTTCTTCTCTCAGCTAGTCAAAGTCATTCTCCATCCAGCTTTGTTCCATTGCTTGTGAGGAACTGCATTCCTTTGGAGGAGGAGAGGCACTCTGCTTTTTAGGGTTTCTAGTTTTTCTGTTCTGTTTTTTCCCCATCTTTGTGGTTTTATCTACTTTTGGTTTTTGATGATGTTGATATACAGATGGGTTTTTGTTGTGGATGTCCTTTCTGTTTGTTAGTTTTCCTTCTAACAGACAGGACCCTCAGCTGCAGGTCTGTTGGAGTTTGCTAGAGGTCCACTCCAGATCCTGTTTGCCTGGGTATCAGCAGCGGTGACTGCAGAACAGCGGATTTTCATGAACCACGAGTGCTGCTGTCTGATCTTTGCTCTGGATATTTTGTCTCAGAGGAGTACACGGCAGTGTGAGGTGTCAGTCTGACCCTACTGGGGGGTGTCTCCCACTTAGGCTGCTCAGGGTTCAGGGGTCAGGTACCCACTTGGGGAGGCAGTCTGCCCATTCTCAGATCTCCAGCTGTGTACTGGGAGAACCACTGCTCTCTTCAAAGCTGTCAGACAGGGACATTTAAGTCTGCAGAGGTTACTGCTATCTTTTTGTTTGTCTGTGCCCTGCCCCCAGAGGTGGAGCCTACAGAGGAAGGCAGGCCACCGAAAGCTGTGGTGGGCTACACCTACTTCGAGTTTTCCAGCAGCTTTGTTTACCTAAGCAATCCTGGGCAATGGGGGTGCCCCACCCCCAGCCTCACTACCACCTTGTAGTTTGATCACAGACTGCTGTGCTAGCAATCAGTGAGACACGGTTGACATAGGACGCTCCAAGCAAGGTGTGGGATATAATCTCCTGGTGTGCCATTTTTTAAGCCCATTGAAAAAGTACAGTATTAGTGTAGGAGTGACCAGATTTCCCAGGTGCCGTCTGTCACCTCTTTATTTGACTAGGAAAGGGAACTCCCTAACCACTTGCACTTCCCAAGTGAGGAAATGCCTCTCTCTGCTTCTGCCCACACATGGTGCACTGCACCCACTATCCTGCGCCCACTGTCTGGCACTTCCTAATGAGATGAACCAGGTATCTCAGATGGAAATGAGGAAATCTCCCAACTTCTGTGTCACTCACGCTGGGAGCTGTAGAACAGAGCTGTTCTTATTTGACCATCTTGACTGCCACCTCATTTGCCAGTTGGCTTCTGTGTAGTTTTTATGTGAAAATATTTCCTTTTCCACCATAGGCCACAAAGGGCTCCAAATATCCACTTGCAGATTCTACAAAAAGGGAGTTTCAAAACTGCTCAATCAAACGAAAGTTTCAACTCTGTGAGTTGTATGCACACATCACAAAGAAGTTTCTCTGAATGCTTCCGCATAGTTTTTATGTGAAGATATACCCATTTCCACCATAGGCCACAAAGTGCTCCAAATATCCACTTGCAGATTCTACAAAATGAGTGTTTCCAAACTGCTCAATCAAAAGAAAGGTTCAACTCTGTGAGATGAATGCACACATTGCAAAGTAGTTTCTCAGAATGGTTCTGCATAGTTTTTATGTGAAGATATCTCCTTTTACACAATAGGCCTAAGAGTATTCCAAATATCCACTTGCTGATCCTTTAAAAAGACTGTTTCATAACTGCATAATCAGAAGAAAGGTTCAACTCTGTGAGATGAATGCACACATCACAAAGAAGTTTCTCAGAATGCTTCTCTGTATTTTTTATGTGAAGATATCTCCTTTTCCACCATAGATAGCAAATAGTTCCAAATATCCACTTGCGGATTCTACAAAAAGAGAGTTTCAAAATTGCTGAATCAAAAGATAGGTTCAAACCTGTGAATTGAATGCACACATCACAAAGAAGTTTCTCAGAATGCTTCTGTGTAGTTCGCATGTGAAGATATTTCCTTTTCCACCATAGGTCTCAAAGCGATCCAAACATCCACTTGTAGATACTACAAAAAGAGTGTTTCCAAACTGCTCAATCAAAAGAAAGGTTCAACTCTGTGAGATGAAGGCACACATCACAAAGAATTTCCTCAGAAATCTTTTTTGTAGTTTTTATGTAAAGGTATGTCCTTTTCCACCGTAGGCGGCAAAGGGCTCCAAATATCCTCTTGCAGATTCTACAAAAAGAGAGATTCAAAACTGCTGAATCAAAAGATAGTTTCAACTCTGTTACTTTAATGCACACTTAACAAAGATGTTTCTCAAAATGCTTCTGTGTAGTTTTTATGTGAAGATATTTCCATTTCCACCATAGGCCTCAAAGAGCTCCAAATATCCACTTGCAGATTCTACAAAAAGAAAGTTTTAAAACTGCTGAATGAAAAGAAAGGTTCAACACTGTGAGATGAATGCACACATCACACAGAACTTTCTCAGAATGATTCTGTGCAGCTTTAATGTGAATATATTTCCTTTTCCACAATAGGAATCTAAGCGCTCCAAATATCAACTTGCAGATTCTACAAAAAGAGTTTTTCAAAACTGCTCAATCAAAAGAAAGGTTCAACTCTGTGAGATGAATGCACACTTCACAAAGAAGTTTCTCGGAATGCTTCTGCGGAGATTTCATGTGAAGATATTTTCTTTTCAACTATAGGCCTCAAAGTGCTCCAATTATCCACTTGCAGATTCTACAAACAGAGTGTTTCAAAACTGCTAAACGAAAAGGAAGATTCATCTCTGTGAGATGAATGCACACATCACCACGAAGTTTCTCAGAATGCTTCCATGTAGTTTTTAGTTGAAGATATTCCCATTTCCACCATTGGCCACAAATGGCTCCAAATAACCACTTGCAGATTCTACAAAAAGAGAGTTTCAAAACTGTTCAATGAAAAAATAGGTTCAACTCCATGAGTTGAATGCACACATCACAGAGAAGTTTCTCAGAAAGCTTCTGTGTAGTTTTTATGTGAAGATATTTCTTTTACACAATAGGCCTCAAAGTGCTCCAAATATTCACTTGCAGATACTTCAAAAAGATTGTTTCAAAACTGCTCAATCAAAAGAAAGGTTCATCCCTGTGAGATGAATGCACAGATCACAAAGAAGTTTCTCAGAATACTTCTGTTTGTTTTTTATGTGAAGGCATTTCCTTTTCCACAATAGGCCACAAAAGGCTAGAAATATCCACTTGCAGATAATAGAAAAAGACAGTTTCAAAATGGCTCAATCAAAAGATAGGTTCGAATCTGTGAGTTGAATGCACACATCACAAAGGAATTTCTCAGAATACTTCTGTGTAGTTTTCATGTGAAGGCATTTCTTTTTCCACCATAGGCCTCAAAGGGCTCCAAATATACACCTGCAGATACTATAAAAAGAGAGTTTCAAAACTGCTCATCAAAAGTTAGATTCACATCAGTGAGTTGAATTCACACATCACAAAGAAGTTTCTCAGAATGCTTCTGTGTGGTCTTTAAGTGAAGATATTTTCTTTTCCACAATAGGCCTCAAAGCGTTCCAAATATCCACTTGCAGATTATACAAAAACAGTGTTTCAATACTGCTCAATAAAAAAAGGTTCAACTCTGTGAGATGAATGCACACATCACAAAGAATTTTCTCAGAATGCTTCTGTATATTTTTTATGTGAAGATATTTCGTTTTCCAAAATAGGCCTCAAAGCCCTCCAAATAGCCACTTGCAGATTCTACAAAGAGAGTGTTTCAAAACTGCTCAAACAAAAGAAAAGTTCAACTGTGTGAGATAAATGCACACATCAAAAAGAAGTTTCTCAGAATGCTTCTGTGTAGTTTTTATGTAAATATATTTGCGTTCAACTGTTGGCCTCAAAGTGCTCCAAATATCCACTTGCATATTCTACAAATGGAGTGTTTCAAAACTACTCAATCAAAAGAAAAGTTCAACTCTGTGAGTTGAATGCACACATCACAAAGAAGTTTCTCAGAATGCTTCTGTGTAGTTTTTATGTGAAGATATTTCCTATTCCACTGTAGGCCTCAAAGCGCTCCAAATATCCTCTTGCAGATTCTACAAAAAGAGTGTTACAAAACTGCTCAATCAAAAGAAAGTTTCAACACTGTGAGATGAAAGCACACATCACAAAGAATTTTCTCAGAATGCTTCTGTGTAGTTTTTACGTGAAGATATTTCCTTTTTCAAAACAGGCCTCAAAGCCTTCCACATATCCACTTGCAGATTCTACAAAAAGTGTGTTTCAAAACTGCTCAATCAAAAGAAAGTTTCAACTCTGTAAGATGAATGCATACATCACAAATAAGTTTATCAGGATGCTTTTGTGTAGTTTTTATGTTAAGATATTTCGTTTTCCACAATAGGCCTCAAAGCACTCCAAATATCCACTTGTGGATTCTACAAAAAGTTTGTTTCAATACTGCTCAATCATAAGACAGGTTCAACTGTGTGAGATGAATGCAGACATCACAAAGAAGTTTCCCAGAATGCTTCTGTGAAGTTTTTATGTGAAGATATTTGCTTTTCCACAGTAGGCCTCAAAACGCTCCAAATATCCACTTGAAGATTGTACAAAAACAGTGTTTCAAAACTGCTGAATCACCAGATAGGTTCAACTCTGTGGGTTGAATGCACACATAACAAAGAAGTTCCTCAGAATGCTTCTGGGTAGTTTTTATTTGAAGATATTTCCTTTTCCTCCATAGGCTGCAAAGGGCTCCAAATGTCTATTTGCAGATCATACAAAATGAGGGATTCATAACTGCTCAAAGAAAAGATAGGTTCACCTCTGTGAGTTTAATGCACATATCAAAAAGAAGTTTCTCAGAATGCTTCTGTGTAGTTTTTATTTGAAGATATTTCCTTTTCCACCTTAGGCCACAAAGGGCCCCAAATATCTGCTTGCAGATTCTACAAAAAGATTGTTTCAAAACTGCTGAATCAAAAAAAATGTTCAACTCTGTGAGATGAAGGCACACATCTCAAAGAAGTTTCTCAGAATGCCTCTGTGTTGTTTTTATGTGAAGATATTTTCTTTTTCAGAGTAGGCCTCAATTGCTCCAAATATCCACTTGCAGACGCTACAAAAAGAGGGTTTCCAAACTGCTCAATCAAAAGAAATATTCAACTCTGTGAGAGGAATGCACATATCACAGGGAAGTTTCCCAGAAATCTTCTGTGTAGTTTTTATGTGAAGATATTTCCTTTTCCACAGTAGGCCTCGAAACGCTCCAAGTATCCACTTACAGATTCTACAAAGAGAGTGTTTCAAAACTGCTCAATCAAATGAAAGGTTCACCTCTGTGAGCTGAATGCACATATCATGAAGAAGTTTCTCTGAATGCTTCTGTGTACCTTTTCTTTGAAGATATTTCCTTTTCATTCATAGGCCAAAAAGGGCACCAAATATCCAGTTGTAGATTCTACAAAGAGAGATTCAATACTGCCCAATCAAAAGATAGTTTCAACTATGTGAGTTGAATGCACACATCATGAAGAAGTTTCTCAGAATGCCTCAGTGTGGTTCTTGTGTGAAGATATTTGTTCTTCCACAGTAGGCCTCAAAACGCTCCAAATATCCACTTGCAGATACTATGAAAACAGCATTTCAGAATTGCACAATCAAAAGAAAATTTCAACACTGTGAGATGAATGCACACATCACAAAGTAGCTTCTCAGAATGCTTCTGTGTAGTTTTTATGTGAAGATATTTCCTTTTCCACAATAGGCCTCAAAGCACCCCAAATATCCACTTGCAGATTCTACGAAAACAGCTTTTCAAAACTACTCAATCAAAAGAAAATTTCAACTCTGTGAGATGAGTTCACACATCACAAAGAAATTTCTCACAATTCCTCCGTGTAGAGTTTATTTAAAGATAATTCCTTTTCCACCATAGGCTGATAAGGGCTCCAAATATCCGGTTGAAGATTCCACAAAAAGATTCAAAACTGCTCCATTAAGACATTGGTTCAACTCTGTGAGTTGAATGCACACATCACAAAGATGATTCTGAGAATTCTTCTGTGTAGTCTTTATGTGAAGATATTTCCTTTTCCAAAATAAGCCTCAAAACCCTCCAAATATCCACCTGCAGATTCTACAAAAAGAGTGTTTCAAATCTGCTCAATCAAAAGAAGTTAAAATCTGTATGATGAATGAACACATCATAAAGAAGTTTCTCAGACTGCCTACGTGTAGTTTTTACATGAAGATATTTCCTTTTCCACAATAGGCCTCAAAGTGCTCCAAATATCCACTTGCAGATTCTACAAAAAGAGTGTTTCAAAACTGCTCTATCAAAAGATAGTTTCAACACTGTGAGTTGAATGTACACATCACAAAGAAGTTTCTCAGAATGCTTCTGTGTAGTTTTGATGTGAAGATATGTCCTTTTCCAAAATAGGCCTCAAAGCCCTCCAAATATCCACTTGCAGTTTCTACATAAAGAGTGTTACAAAACTGTTCAATCAAAAGGAAAGTTTCAACTATGTGTGATGAATGCACTCGTAACAAAGAAATGTCTCAGAAAGATTCTGTGTAGTTTTTATGTGAAAATATTTCCTTTTCCACAATAGGCCTAAAAGCGCTGCAAATATTCACTCTCAGATTCTACAAAAAGAGTGATTGGAAACTGTTCAATCAAAAGATAGGTTCAACTCTGTGAGTTGAATGCACACATCACAAAAAGTTTCTCAGAATGCTTCTGTGTAGTTGTTATGTGAAGATATTTCCTTTTCCACACTAGGCTTCAAAGCTCTCCAAATATCCAGTTGCAGATTCTGCAAAAAGAGAGACTAAAAACTGCTCCATCAAAATATAGGTTCGATTCCGTGAGTTGAATGCACACATCACAAAGAAGTTTCTCAGAATGCTTCTGTGAAGTTTTTATGTGAAGATATTTGTTTTTCCACAGTAGGCCTCAAAGCGCTCCAAATATCCACTTGAAGATTCTACAAAAACAGTGCTTCAAAACTGCTGAATCATAAGATAGTTTCAACTCTGTGGGTTGAATGCATACATAGCAAAGAAGTTCCTCAGAATGCTTCTGGGTAGTTTTTATTTGAAGATATTTCCTTTTCCTCCATAGGCCACAAAGGGCTCCAAATGTCCACTTGCAGATCCTGCAAAAGGAGGGAATCAAAACTGCTCAATGAAAAGATAGGTTCACCTCTGTGAGTTTAATGCACATATCACAAAGTGGTTTCTCAGAATGCTTCTGTGTAGTTTTATGTGAAGATATTTCCTTTTTCACAATAGGCCACATCGGCTCCAAATAAACACTTGCAGATTCTACAAAAAGAGTGTTTCAAAACTGCTCAATCATAAGATAGGTTCAACAATTTGAGATGAAAGCACACATCACAAAGAAGTTTCTCAAATGCTTCTGTGTAGTTTTTATGTGAAGATGTTTCCTTTTCTACCATATGCTTCAAAGTGATCCAAACATTCACTTGTAGATACAACAAAAAGAGTGTTTCCAAACTGCTCAATCAAAAGAAAGGTTCAACTCTGTGAGATGAAGGTACACATGACGTAGAAGTTCCTCAGAAATCTTTTTTGTAGTTTTTATATGAAGGTATTTCCTTTTCCACCATAGGTCGAAAAGGGCTCCAAATATCCTCTTGCAGATTCTACAAAAAGAGAGATTCAAAACTGCTCAATCAAAAGAAAGTTTCAACTCTGTGAGTTTAATGCACACTTAACAAAGGTGTTTCTCAGAATGCTTCCTTGTAGTTTTCTGTTTTACAAACAGAAAGTTTCAAAACTGCTGAATAAAAAGAAAGGTTCAACATTGTGAGATGAATGCACACATCACACAGAAGTTTCTCAGAATGATTCTGTGCAGTTTATATGTAAAGATATTTCCTTTTCCACAATAGGAATCTAAGCACTCAGAATATCAACTTGCAGATTCTACATAAAAAGTTTTTCAAAACTGCTCAATCAAAGGAAAGGTTCAACTCTGTGAGATGAATGCACACATCGCAAAGAGGTTTCTTGGAATGCTTCTGTGTATATTTCATGTGAAGATATTTTCTTTTCAACAATAGGCCTCAAAGTGCTCCAATTATCCGCTTGCAGATTCTACAAACAGAGTGTTTCAAAACTGCTAAATGAAAAGAAAGATTCATCTCTGTGAGATGAATGTGCACATCACCATGAAGTTTCTCAGAATGCTTCTGTGTAGTTTTTCTGTGAAGATATTTCCTTTTCCACAGTAGACCTCAAATCTCTCCAAATATCCACTCACAGATTATGCAAAAAGAGAGATTCAAAACTGCTCAATCAAAAAATAGGTTCAGCTCCGTGAGTTGAATGCACACAAAACAAAGAAGTTTCTCAGAATGCTGCTGTGTAGCTTTTATGTGAAGACATTTCCTTTTCCACAATAGGTGTCAAATCGATCCAAATATCCACTTGCAGATTCTACAAAAAGAGTGTTTCAAAACTGCTCAATCAAAACATAGGTTCAATTCCTTTTTTTTCCATGTTTCCTGTTCTTTTTTTTTAATTTCTTTGTTTATTATTATACTTTAAATTTTAGGGTACATGTGCACATTGTACAGGTTAATTACATACGTATACATGTGCCATGCTGGTGTGCTGCACCCACTAACTCGTCATCTAGCATTAGGTATATCTCCCAAAGCTACCCCCTACCCCTTTCCCCACCCCACAACATTCTCCAGAGTGTGATGTTCCCCTTCCTGTGTCCATGTGATCTCATTGTTCAATTCCCACAAAACATAGGTTCAATTCTGTGAGCTGCATGCACTCAACACAAACATGTTTCTCAGAATGCTTCTGTGTAATCTTTATGTGAAGATATTTCCTTTTCTACCATAGGCCACAAAGGGCTCCAAATATCCACTTGCACATTCTACAAAAAGAGTGTTTCAAAACTGCTCAATCAAAAGAAAGGTTCAACTCTGTGAGATGAATGCACACATCACAAAGAAGTTTATCTGGTTGTTTCGGCAGAGATTTATATGAAGATACTTCCTTTTCTACCATTGGCCACAAAGGGCTCCAAATGTCCACTTGCAGATTCTACAGAAAGAGTGTCTCCAAACTGCTCAATCAAAAGGAAGGTTCATCTGTGTGAGATGAACGCACACATCAGAAAAAAGTTTCACAGAATTCTTCTCTCCAGTTTTCATGTGAAGATACTTGCTTTTCCACCAGAGGCCTCAAAGCCCTCCAAATGTCCACTTGAAGATTCTACAAAAAGAGTGTTTCCAAAATGCTCCATGAAAAGAAACTTTGAACTCTGTGAGATGAACGCACACATCACAAAGAAGTTTCTCAGAACTCTTCTGTCTAGTTTTTATGTGAAGATATTTCCTTTTCCACCATAGGCCTCAAAGTGCTCCAAATATCCACTTGCAGATTTTACAAAAAGAGAGTTTCAAAACTCCTCAATCAAAAGAAAGTTTTAACTCTCTTAGACGAAAGCACACATCACAAGGAAGTTTGTCAGGTTGCTTCTGTCTAGATTTTATGTAAAGATATTTCCTTTTCTACCATAGGCCCCAACGCGCTCCAAATATCCACTTGTGGATTCCACAAAAAGAATGTTCCCAAACAGCTCAATCAAAAAAGAGTTTCAACTCTGTGAGATGAACACACGTATCACAAAGAAGTTTCTCAGAATTCTTCTGTCTCATTTTTATGTGAAAGTATTTCTTTTCTCTCTATAGGCCTCAAGGTGCTCGAAATGTCCACTTGCAGATTCTACAAAAAGAGTATTTCGTTACTGGTCCATTAAAAGAAAGGTTCAACTCTGGGATATGAATGCACACATCATGAAGAAGTTATTCAGAATGCTTCTATCTAGTTTTTATTGAAGATATTTCCTTTTCCACCATCGGCCACAAAGCCCTCCAAATGTGCACTTGCAGATTACACAAAAAGAGAGTTTGAAAACTGCTCAATCAAAAGAAAGGTTTAATTCTGGAATATGAATGCACATATCACAAAGAAGTTTTTCAGATAGCTTCTGTCTAGATTTTATGTGTAGATATTTCCTTTTCTACCATAGGCTGCAAAACGCTCCAAATGTCCACTTGCAGATTCTACAAAATGAAGTTTTTCAAAACTCCTCAATCAGAAGAAATGTTCAACTCTTTGAGATGAATGCACGCATCAAAAAGAAGTTTCTCAGAATACCTCTGTCTAGTTTTTATGTGAGAATATTTCCTTTTCCAACATAGGACTCAAAGCGCTCCAAATGGCCACTTGCAGGTTCTACAAAAAGAGAGTTTCAAAACTGCTCAATCAAAAGAAAGGTTTAACTCTGTCAGATGAATGCCCACTTCACAAAGAAGTTTCTCAGATTGCTTCTGTCTAGACGTTATATGAAGATATTTCCCTTTCTACCATAGGCCGCCACACGCTCCAAATGTTCCCTGGCAGATTCTACAAAAAGAGTGTTTCCAAACTGCTCACTCCAAAGAAAGGTTCAACTCTGTAAGATGAATGCACGCATCACAAGGAAGTTCTTCAGAATTCTTCTGTCTAGTTTTGATGTGAAGATATTTCCTTTTCCACCTTAGTCCTCAAAGCCCTCAAAATGTCCACTTGCAGATTCTACAAAAAGAGATTTTCCAAACTGCTCAATCAAAAGAAAGGTTCAACTCTGTCAGATGAATGCCCACTTCACAAAGAAGTTTCTCAGATTGCTTCTGTCTAGACGTTATATGAAGATATTTCCCTTTCTACCATAGGCCGCCACACGCTCCAAATGTCCCCTAGCAGATTCTACAAAAAGAGTGTTTCCAAACTGCTCACTCCAAAGAAAGGTTCAACTCTGTCAGATGAATGCACACATCACAAGGAAGTTTCTCATAATTCTTCTGTCTAGTTTTTATGTGAAGATATTTCCTTTTCCACCATAGGCCTCAAAGTGATCCAAATGTCCACTTGCAGATTCTACAAAAAGAGAGTTTCAAAACTGTTCAATCAAAAGAAATGTTTAACTCTATGAGATGAATGCACACATCACAAAGAAGTTTCTCAGGTTGCTTCGGCAGAGATTTATTTGAAGATACTTCCTTTTCTACCATGGGCGGCAAAGGGCTCCAAATGTCCACTTGCAGATTCTACAAAAAGAGTGTCTCCAAACTGCTCAATCAAAAGGAAGGTTCATCTGTGTGAGATGAAGGCACGCATCAGAAAAAAGTTTCACAGAATTCTTCTCTCCAGTATTCATGTGAAGATATTTGCTTTTCCACCAGAGGCCTCAAAGCCCTCCAAATGTCCACTTGAAGATTCTACAAAAAGAGTGTTTCCAAATTGCTCCATGAAAAGAAACTTTGAACTCTGTGAGATGAATGCGCACATCACAAGGACGTTTGTCAGGTTGCTTCTGTCTAGATTTTATGTGAAGATATTTCCTTTTCTACCACAGGCCCCAAAGTGCTCCAAATATCCACTTGTAGATTCCACAAAAAGAATGTTTCCAAACAGCTCAATCAAAAAAGAGGTTCACTTCTGTGAGATGAATGCACACATCACAAAGAAGTTTCTCAGAATTCTTCTGTCTAGTTTTTATGTGAAGATATTTCCTTTTCCACCAGAGGCCTTAATGCCCTCCAAATATCGACTTGCGGATTCTACAAAAAGAGAGTTTCAAAACTCCTCAATCAAAAGAAAGGTTTAACTCTCAGGGGCATGCACAAAACACAAAGTAGTTTATCTGATTGCTTATGTCTAGATTTTATGTGAAGATAGTCCCTTTTCTATCATAGGTGGCAAAGCACACCAAATGTCCACTTGCGGATTCTCCAAATAGAGGGTTTACAAATTTCTCAATCAAAAGAAAGGTCCAACTCTGTGAGATGAATGCACACATCACATAGAAGTTGCTCAGAATACTTGTGTTTAGTTTTTATGTGAAGATATTTCATTTTCCACCATAGGCCTCAAGGTGCTCGAAGTGTCCAACTGCAAATTCTACAAAAAGATTATTTCATAACTGGTCCATCAAAAAAAAGGTTCAACTCTGGGAAATGAATGCACACACCACAAAGAAGTTTCTCTGAATGCTTCTATCTAGTTTTTACGTGAAGGTATTTCCTTTTACACCATAGGCCTCAAAGTGCTCCAAATGTCCACTTGCAGATTCCACAAAAAGAGAGTTTCAAAACTGCTCAATCAAAAGAAATGGTTAACTCTGTGAGATAAATGCACACAAAAAAAAGTCGTTTCTCAGATTGCTTCTGTCTAGATTTTTTGTGAAGATATTTCCTTTTCTACCATAGGCCACAAAACGCTCTAAATGTCCACTTGCAGGTTCTACAAAAAGAGTGTTTCCAAACTGCTCAATCAAAAGAAAGGTTCAACTCTGTCAGATGAACGCACACATCACAAAGAATTCTCTCAGAATTCTTCTGTTTAGTTTTTATGTAAAGATAATTCCTTTTCTTCCATAGGCCTAAAAGCATTCCAAATGTCCACTTGCAGATTCTGCAAAAAGAGATTTCCAAAACTGCTCAATCAAAAGGAAGGTTTAAGTCTGTGAGATGAAAGCACACATCACAAAAAGTTTCTCAGATTGTTTCTGTCTAGATTTATTGTCCTATTTATTTATTTATTTATTTATTTTTATTATTATACTTTAAGTTTTAGAGTACATGTGCACATTGTGCAGGTTAGTTACATATGTATACATGTGCCATGCTGGTGCGCTGCACCCACCAACTCGTCATCTAGCATTAGATATGTCTCCCATAGCTATCCCTCCCCCATCTCCCCACCCCACCAGAGTCCCCAGAGTGTGTTGTTCCCCTTACTGTGTCCATGTGATCTTATTGTTCAATTCCCACCTATGAGTGAGAATATGCGATGTTCAGTTTTTTGTTCTTGCGATAGTTTACTGAGAATGATGATTTCCAATTTCATCCATGTCCCTACAAAGGACATGAACTCATCATTTTTTATGACTGCATGGTATTCCATGGTGTATATGTGCCACATTTTCTTAATCCAGTCTATCATTGTTGGACATTTGGGTTGGTTCCAAGACTTTGCTATTGTGAATAGTGCCGCAATAAACATACGTGTGCATGTGTCTTTATAGCAGCATGATTTATAGTCCTTTGGGTATATACCCAGTCATGGGATGACTGGGTCAAATGGTATTTCTAGTTCTAGATCCCTGAGGAATCGTCACACTGACTTCCACAATGGTTGAACTAGTTTACAGTCCCACCAACAGTGTAAAAGTGTTCCTATTTCTCCACATCCTCTCCAGCACCTTTTGTTTCCTGACTTTTTAATGATTGCCATTCTAACTGGTGTGAGATGGTATCTCATTGTGGTTTTGATTTGCATTTCTCTGATGGCCAGTGATGATGAGTATTTTTTCATGTGTTTTTTGGCTGCATAAATGTCTTCTTTTGAGAAGTGTCTGTTCATGTCATTTGCCCACTTTTTGATGGGGTTGTTTGTTTTTTTCTTGTAAATTTGTTTAAGTTCATTGTAGATTCTGGATATTAGCCCTTTGTCAGATGAGTAGGTTGTGAATATTTTCTCCCATTTTTTAGGTTGCCTGTTCACTCTGATGGTAGTTTCTTTTGCTGTACAGAAGCTCTTTAGTTTAATTAGATCCCATTTGTCAATTTTGGCTTTTGTTACCATTGTTTTTGGTGTTTCAGACATGAAGACCTTGCCCATGCCTATGTCCTCAATGGTATTGCCTAGGTTTTCTTCTAGGGTTTTTATGGTTTTAGGTCTAACGTTTAAGTCTTTAATCCATCTTGAATTGATTTTTGTATAAGGTGTAAGGAAGGGATCCAGTTTCAGCTTTCTACATATGGCTAGCCAGTTTTCCCAGCACCAGCCACACCAAATCAACAGAATATACATTTTTTTTCAGCATTACACCACACCTATTCCAAAATTGACCACGTAGTTGGAAGTAAAGCTCTCCTCAGCAAATGTAAAAGAACAGAAATTATAACAAACTCTCTCTCAGACCACGGTGCAATCAAACTAGACCTCAGGATTAAGAATCTCACTCAAAGCTGCTCAACTACATGGAAACTGAACAACCTGCTCCTGAATGACTACTGGGTATATAACGAAATGAACACAGAAATAAAGATGTTCTTTGAAACCAATGAGAACAAAGACACAACATACCAGAATCTCTGGGACGCATTCAAAGCAGTGTGTAGAGGGAAATTTATAGTACTAAATGCCCACAAGAGAAAGCAGGAAAGAAGCAAAATTGACACCCTAACATCACAATTAAAAGAACTAGAAAAGCAAGAGCAAACACATTCAAAATCTAGCAGAAGGCAAGAAATAACTAAAATCAGAGAAGAACTGAAGGAAATAGACACACAAAAAACCCTTCAAAAAATTAATGAATCCAGGAGCTGGTTTTTTGAAAGGATCAACAAAATTGATAGATCACTAGCAAGACTAACAAAGAAAAAAAAAGAGAAGAATCAAATAGATGCAATAAAAAGTGATAAAGGGGATATCACCACCGGTCCCACAGAAATACAAACTACCCTCAGAGAATACTACAAACACCTCTACACAAATAAACTAGAAAATCTAGAAGAAATGGATAAATTCCTCAACACATAAACTCTCCCAAAACTAAACCAGGACGAAGTTGAATCTCTGAATAGACCAATAACAGGAACTGAAATTGTGGCAATAATCAATAGCTTCCCAACCAAAAAGAGTCCAGGACCAGATGGATTCACAGCCGAATTCTACCAGAGGTACAAGGAGTAACTGGTACCATTCCTTCTGAAACTATTCCAATCAATAGAAAAAGAGCAAATCCTCCCTAACTCATTTTATGAGGCCAGCATCATTCTGATACCAAAGCCTGTCAGAGACACAACCAAAAAAAAAATTTTTAGACCAATACCCTTGATGAACATTGATGCAAAAATCCTCAATAAAATACTGGCAAAACGAATCCAGCAGCACATCAAAAAGCTTATCCACCATGATCAAGTGGGCTTCATCCCTAGGATGCAAGGCTGGTTCAATATACACAAATCAATAAATGTAATCCAGCATATAAACAGAGCCAGTGACAAAAAACACATGATTATCTCAATAGATGCAGAAAAGGCCTTTGACAAAATTCAACAACCCTTCATGCTAAAAACTCTCAATAAATTAGGTATTGATGGGACATATTTCAAAATAATAAGAGCTATCTATGACAAACCCACAGCCAATATCATACTAAATGGGCAAAAACTGGAAGCATTCCCTTTGAAAACAGGTACAAGACAGGAATGCCCTCTTTCACCACCCCTATTCAACATAGTGTTGGAAGTTCTGTCTAGATTTTATATGAAGTTATTTCCTTTTCCACCATAGAACCAAAAGCACTCCAAATGCCCCTTGCAGATCCTACAAAAACAGTGTTTCCAAACTGCTCAATCAAAAGAAAGGTTGAACTCTGTGAGATGAATGCACACATCACAAAGAAGTTTCTCAGAATTCTTCTCTCTAGTTTCTATGTGAAGATATTTCCTTTTCCACTGTAGGCCTCAAGGCGCTCAAAATGTCCACTTGCAGATCCTACAAAAACAGTATTTCAAAACTGGTCCATCAAAAGAAAGGTTCAACTCTGGGAGATGAATGCACACATCACGAAGTTTCTCAGAATGCTTCTATCTTGTTTTTATGTGAAGATATTTCCTTTTCCACCATAGGCCCCAAAGCCTTCCAAATGTCCAATTGCAGATTCTACAAAAAGAGAGTTTGAAAAGTGTTCAATCATAATAAAGTCTTAACTCTGTGAGATGAATGCACACATCACAGAGAAGATTCTCAGATTACTTCTGTCTAGATTGTATGTAAAGATATTTCCTTTTCTACCATAGGCTGCAAAACACTCCAAATGTCCACTTGCAGATTCTACAAAAAGAGAGTTTCCAAACTGCTCAATCAAACAAAGGTTCAACTCTGTGAGATGAACACACACATAAAAAGGAAATTTCTCAGAATACTTCTGTTAATTTTTTAAGGGAAGATATTTCCTTCTCCATCATAGGACTCAAGGTGCTCCAAATGTCCACTTGCAGATCCTACAAAAAGAGAGTTTTAAAAGTGCTCAATCAAAAGAAAGGTTTTATTCTGTGAGGTGAATGCACACATCACAAAGAATTTTCACAGATTGCTTCTGTCTAGACTTTATGTGAAGATATTTCCTTTTCTACCATAGGCCACAAAGTTCTCCAAATCTCCACATGCAGATTCTACAATAAGAGTGTTTCAAAACTGCTCAATCAAAAGAAAGGTTCAACTCTGAAATGAACGCACACATTACAAAGAAGTTTCTCAGAACGCTTCTGTCTAGTTTTTATGTGAAGCTATTTCCTTTTCCAACTTAGGCCTCAAAGCGCTGCCAGTGTCCAACTGCAGATTCAACAAAAAGAGAGTTTCAAAACTGCTCAATCAAAAGAAAGGTTTCACTTAGTGAGATGAATGCACACATCACAGAGAAGTTTCTACGATTGCTTCTGTCAAGATTTTATATGAAGATATTTCACTTTCCACCGTAGCCTCAAGGTGCTCGAAATGCCCCCTGGCAGATTCCACAAAAGGAGTATTTCAAACCTGGTCCATCAAAAGAAAGTTTCAACTCTTTGAGATGAATGCACACATCACAAACAAGTTCCTCAGAATGCTTCTGTCTAGTTTTTATGTGAACATATTTCCTTTTCCACTGTAGGCCTCAAAGCACTCCCAATGTCAGTTTGCAGATTCTACAAAAATAGAGTTTCAAAACTACTCCATTGAAAGTAAGTTTTCACTCTGTGAGATTAATGCACACATCACAAAGAAGTTTCTCAGATTGCTTCTGTCTGGATTTACTGTGAAGAGATTTCCTTTTCTACCATAAGCCTCAAAGCGCACCAAATGTCCACTGGCAGATTCTACAAAAAGAGTGTTTCCAAACTGCTCAATCAAAAGAAAGGTTCACCTCTGTAATATGAACACACAAATCACAAAGAAGTTTCTCAGAATTCTTCTGTCTCGTTTTTATGTGAAAGTATTTCTTTTCCCACTAGAGGCCTCAAGGTGCAAGAAATGTCCACTTGCAGATTCTACAAAAAGAGTATTTCAAAACTGGTCCATTAAAAGAGAGGTTCAACTCTGGGAGATGAATGCACACATCATGAAGAAGTTATTCAGAATGCTTATGTCTAGTTTATTTTTGAAGATATTTCCTTTTCCACCATCGGCCTCAAAGCCCTCCAAATGTCCACTTGCAGATTACACAAAAAGAGAGTTTCAAAACTGCTGAATCAAAAGAAAGGTTTTACTCTGGAATATGAATGCATGCATCACAAAGATTTTCAGATAGCTTCTGTCTAGATTTTATGTGTAGATATTTCCTTTTCTACCATAGGCTGCAAAATGCTCCAAATGTCCACGTGCAGGTTCTACAAAAAAAGAGTTTCCAAACTGCTCAATCAAAAGAAAGGTTTAACTCTGTCAGATGAATGCTTACATCACAAAGAAGTTTCTCAGATTGCTTCTGTCTAGATTTTAAATGAAGATATATCCTTTTCTACCATAAGCCCCAAGGCGTTCCAAATGTCCACTTGCAGATTCTACAAAAAGAGTATTTCAAAACTGATACATCAAAAGGAAGGTTCGGCTCTTGGAGATGAATGCACACATCACAAAGAAGTTTCTCAGATTGCTTCTGTCTAGACATAAGATGAAGATATTTCCCTTTCTACTATAGGCTGCCAAGCACTCCAAATGTACACTGGCAGATTCTACAAAAAGTGTGTTTCCAAACTGCTCAATCAAAAGAAAGGTTCAACTCTGTGAGATGAACGCACATATCACAAAGAAGTTTTTCAGAGTCCTTCTGTCTAGTTTTTATCTGAAGATATTTCCTTTTCCACCTTAGTCCTCAAAGCCCTCAAAATGTCCACTTGCAGATTCTACAAAAAGAGAGTTTCCAAACTGCTCAATCAAAAGAAACGTTCAACTCTGTCAGATGAATGCACACATCACAAAGAAGTTTATCTGGTTGTTTCGGCAGAGATTTATATGAAGATACTTCCTTTTCTACCATAGGCCACAAAGGGCTCCAAATGTCCACTTACAGATTCTAAAGAAGGAGAGTCTCCAAACTGCTCAATTAAAAGAAGGTTCATCTGTGTGAGATGAACGCCCACAACAAAAGAACTTTCACAGAATTCTTCTCTCTAGTTTTCATGTGAAGATATTTCCTTTTTCACCATAGGCCTCAAAGCCCTCCTAATGTCTACCTGAAGATTCTAGAAAATGAGTGTTTCCAAAATGCTCCATCAAAAAGAACTTTGAACTCTGTGAGATGAACGCACACATCACAAAGTAGTTTTTCAGAATTCTTCTGTCTAGTTTTTTTGTGAAGATATTTTCTTTTCCACCATAGGTATCAAATCGCTCTAAATATCCACTTGCAGATTCTACAAAAAGAGAGGTTCAAAACTGCTCAATCAAAAGAAAGTTTTAACTCTGTGACATGAATGCACACATCAGAAAGAAGTTTCTCAGATTGCTTCTTTCTAGATTTTATGTGAAGATATTTCCTTTTCTACCACAGGCCGCAAAGCGCTCCAAATGTCCATTTGCAGATCCTACAAATGATTGTTTCCAAACTGCTCAATCAAAAGAAAGATTCAACTCTGTGAGATGAATGCACAAATCACAAAGTAGTTTCTCAGAATTCTTCTGTCTAAATTTAATATAAAGATATTTTCTTTTCAACCAAAGTCCTCAAAGCCCACCAAATATTCACTTGCAGATTCTACAAAAAGAGAATTTCAAAACTGCTCAATCCAAAGAAAGGTTTAACTCTGTGAGATGAATGCACTCATCACAAAGAAGTTTCTCAGATTGCTTCTGTCTAGATTTTATGTGAAGATATTTCTTTTCTACCTTAGGCAGCAAAGGGCTCCAAATGTCCACTTGTAGATTTTACAAAAAGAGTGTTTCCAAACTACTCAATCTAAACAAAGGTTCAAATCTGTGAGATGAACACATGCATCACAAAGAAGTTTCTCAGAATTCTTCTTTCTAGTTTTTATGTGAAGATATTTCCTTTCCCACCGTAGGCCTCATATCTCTTCAAAAGTCCACTTGCATATTATATAAAAAGAGAGTTCAAAACTGCTCAATCAAAAGAAAGGTTTAACTCTGTGAGATGAATGCACATGTCACAAAGAAGTTTCTCAGATTGCTTCTGTGTAGATTTTAATTGAAGATTATTCCGTTTCTACCATTGACTGCAAAGCGTACAAATTTTCCACTTGCAGATTCTCCAAAAGAGTGTTTGCAAACTTCTCAATCAAAAGAAAGGTTCAACTCTGTGAGATGAATGTACACATCACAATTGAAGTTTCCTGGAATTATTCTGCCTAGTTATTATGTGAAGATATTTCATTTTCCACCATAGGCCCCAAGGTGCTCCAAATGTCCACTTGCAGATCCAACAAAAAGATTATTTCAATACTGGTCCATAAAAAGAAATGTTGAATTCTGGGAAATGAATGCACACATCACAAAGAAGTTTCTCAGAATGTTTCTAAATAGTTTTTTTCTGAAGATATTTCTTTTCCTTCATAGGCCTCAAAACTCTCCAAATATACTCTTGCAGATTCTGTAAAAAGAGTGTTTCCAAACTGCTCAATAAAAGAAAGGTTCAACTCTGTGAGATGAACGTACACATCAAAAAGAAGTTTCTCAGAAACCTTCTGCTTAGTTTTTAGGTGAAGATATTTCCATTTCCGTCATAGAACTCAAAGCGCCTTAAACGTCCACTAGCAGATTCTAAAAAAAAACTGCTCAATTAAAAGAAAGGTTTAATTCTGTGACATGAATACATACATCACAGTGTAGTTTCTCAGATTGCTTCTGTCTAGATTTTATGTGAAGATATATCCTTTCCTATCATAGGTCTCAAAGCGCTCCAAATGTCCACTTGCAGATTCTACAAAAGAGAGTTTCAAAACTGCTCATTCAAAGAAAATTTTAACTCTATGAGATGAATGCAAACATCACAAAGAAATTTCTCAGATGGCTTCTGTCTAGATTTTATGTGAAGATATTTCTTTTTCTATCATAGGCCGCAAAGCACTCCAAATGTCCACTTGCAGATTCTACAAAAAGAGTTTCAAAACTGCTTAATCAAAAGAAAGGTTTAACTCTGTGAGATGAATGCACACATCAGAAAGAATTTTCTCAGATTGCTTCTGTCTAGATTTTATGTGAAGATATTTCCTTTTCCAGCATAGGCCTCAAGGCGCACAAAATGTCCGCTTGCAGATCCTTCAAAAAGAGGATTTCAAAACTGATCCTTCATAAGAAAGATTAAACTTTGAGATATGAATGTACACATCACAAAGAGGTTTCTCAGAATGCTTCTGTCCAGTTTTTATGTGAAGATATTTTCTTTTCCACCATAGGCCTCAAGACACTCGAAATGTCCACTTGCAGATTCTACAAAAAGAGTATTTCAAAACTGGTCCTTCAAAAAAAAATGCTCAAGTCAGGGACATGAATGCATATATCACAAAGAAGTTTCTCAGAAAGCTTCTATTTGGTTTTCATGTGAAGATATTTCCTTTTACACCATAGGCTTCAAAGCTCTCCAAACGTCCACTTGCAGATTCTACAAAAAGAGAGTTTCAAAACTGCTCCATCAAAAGAAAGTTTCAACTCTGTGAGATGAATGTACAAATCACAAAGAAGTTTCTCAGAATTCTTCTCTCTAGTTTTTATGTGAAGGTATTTCCTTTTCCACCGTAGGCCTCAAAACGCTCCAAATATCCACTTACAGGACCTACAAAAAGAGAGTTTCAAAACTGCTCCATCAAAAGAAATGTTTAACTCTGTGACATGAATGCACACATCACAAAGAGGTTTCTCAGGTTGCTTCTGTCTAGATTTTATGTGAAGATATTTCCTTTGCTACCATAGGTTGCAAGGCACTCCAAATGTCCACTTGCAGATTCTACAAAAAGAATGTTTCAAAACTGGAACAGACCTGCAGCTGAGGGACCTGTCTGTTAGAAGGAAAACTAACAAACAGAAAGGACATCCACAACAAAAACCCATCTGTATATCACCATCATCAAAGACCAAAGTAGATAAAACCATAAAGATGGGGAAAAAACAGAACAGAAAAACTGGAAACTCTAAAAAGCAGAGTGCCTCTCCTCCTCAAAAGAAACACAGTTCCTCACCAGCAACGGAACAAAGCTGGATGGAGAATGACTTTGATGAGCTGAGAGAAGAAGCCTTCAGACAATCAAATTACTCTGAGCTATGGGAGGACATTCAAACCAAAGGCAAAGAAGTTGGAAACTTTGAAAAAAATTTAGAAGAATGTATAATTAGAATAACCCAATACAGAGAAGTGCTTAAAGGAGCTGATGGAGCTGAAAACCAAGGCTCGAGAACTACGTGAAGAATGCAGAAGCCTCAGGAGCCGATGCCATCAACTGGAAGAAAGGGTATCAGCGATGGAAGATGAAATGAATGAAATGAAGCGAGAAAGGAAGTTTAGAGAAAAAAGCATAAAAAGAAATGAGCAAAGCCTCCAAGAAATATGGGACTATGTGAAAAGACCAAATCTACGTCTGATTGGTGTACCTGAAAGTGATGGGGAGAATGGAACCAAGTTGGAAAACACTCTGCAGGATATTATCCAGGAGAACTTCCCCAATCTAGCAAGGCAGGCCAACGTTCAGATTCAGGAAATACAGAGAACACCACAAAGATACTCCTCGAGAAGAGCAACTTCAAGAACATAATTGTCAGATTCACCAAAGTTGAAATGAAGGAAAAAATGTTAAGGGCAGCCAGAGAGAAAGGTCGGGTTACCCTCAAAGGGAAGTCCATCAGACTAACAGCGGATCTCTCAGCAGAAACCCTACAAGCTGGAAGAGAGTGGGGGCCAATATTCAACATTCTTAAAGAAAAGAATTTTCAACCCAGAATTTCATATCCAGCCAAACTAAGCTTCATAAGTGAAGGAGAAATAAAATACTTTACAGACAATCAAATGCTGAGAGATTTTGTCACCACCAGGCCTGCCCTAAATGAGCTCCTGAAGAAAGTGCTAAACATGGAAAGGAACAACCAGTACCAGCCACTGCAAAATCATGCCAAAATGTAAAGACCATCGAGACTAGGAAGAAACTGCATCAACTAACGAGCAAAATAACCAGCTAACATCATAATGACAGGAACAAATTCACACATAACAATATTAACTTTAAATGTAAATGGAATAAATGCTCCAATTAAAAGACACAGACTGGCAAATTGGATAAACAGTCAAGAACCATCAGTGTGCTGTATTCAGGAAACCCATCTCACGTGCAGAGACACACATAGGCTCAAAATAAAAGGATGGAGGAAGATCTACCAAGCAAATGGAAAACAAAAAAAGGCAGGGTTTGCAATCCTAGTCTCTGATAAAACAGACTTTAAACCAACAAAGATCAAAAGAGACAAAGAAGGCCATTACATAATGGTAAAGGGATCAATTCAACAAGAAGAGCTAACTATCCTAAATATATATGCACCAAATACAGGAGCACCCAGATTCATAAAGCAAGTGCTTAGTGACCTACAAAGAGACTTAGACTCCCACACATTAATAATGGGAGACATTAACACCCCACTGTCAACATTAGACAGATCAATGAGACAGAAAGTCAACAAGGATACCCAGCAATTCAACTCAGCGCTGCACCAAGCGGACCTAATAGACATCTACAGAACTCTCCACCCCAAATCAACAGAATATACATTTTTTCAGCACCACACCACACCTATTCCAAAATTGACCACATAGTTGGAAGTAAAGCTCTCCTCAGCAAATGTAAAAGAACAGAAACTATTATAAACTATCTCTCAGACCACAGTGCAATCAAACTAGAACTCAGGATTAAGAATCTCACTCAAAACCGCTCAAATACATGGAAACTGAACAACCTGCTCCCGAATGACTATAGGGTACATAACAAAATGAAGGCAGAAATAAAGATTTGCTTTGAAACCAATGAGAACAAAGACACAACATAACAGAATCTCTGGGATGCATTCAAAGCAGTGTGTAGAGGGAAATTTATAGCACTAAATGCCCACAAGAGAAAGCAGGAAAGATCCAAAATTGACACCCTAATATCACAATTAAAAGAACTAGAAAAGCAAGAGCAAACACATTCAAAAGCTAGCAGAAGGCAAGAAATAACTAAAATCAGAGAAGAACTGAAGGAAATAGAGACACAAAAAACCCTTCAAAAAATTAATGAATCCAGGAGCTGGTTTTTTGAAAGGATCAACAAAATTGATAGACCTCTAGCAAGACTAATAAAGAAAAAAAGAGAGAGGAATCAAATAGATGCAATAAAAATGGTAAAGGGGATATCACCACCGATCCCACAGAAATACAAACTACCATTAGAGAATACTACAAACACCTCTACGCAAATAAACTAGAAAATCTAGAAGAAATGGATAAATTCCTTGACACATGCACTCCCCAACACTAAACCAGGAAGAAGTTGAATCTCTGAATAGACCAATAACAGGAGCTGAAATTGTGGCAATATTCAATAGTTTACCAACCAAAAAGAGTCCAGGACCAGAAGGATTCACAGCTGAATCCTACCAGAGGTACAAGGAGGAACTGTTACCATTCCTTTTGAAACTATTCCAATCAATAGAAAAAAAGGGAATCCTCCCTAACTCATTTTATGAGGCCAGCATCAACCTGATACCAAAGCTGTGCAGACACACAACGAACAAAGAGAATTTTAGACCAATATCCTTGATGAACATTGATGCAAAAATACTCAATAAAATACTAGCAAAACGAATCCAGCAGCACATCAAAAAGCTTATCCACCATGATCAAGTGGGCTTCATCCCTGGGATGCAAGGCTGGTTCAATATACACAAATAAATAAATCTAATCCAGCATATAAACAGAGCCAAAGACAAAAACCATATGATTATCTCAACAGATGCAGAAAAAGCCTTTGACAAAATTCAACAACCCTTCATGCTAAAAACTTTCAATACATTAGGTGTTGATGGGACGTATCTTTAAATAATAAGAGCTATCTATGAAAAACCCACAGCCAATATCATACTGAATGGGCAAAAACTGGAAACATTCCCTTTGAAAACTGGCACAAGACAGGGATGCCCTCTCTCACCACTCCTATTCAACATAGTGTTGGAAGTTCTGGCCAGGGCAATTAGGCAAGAGAAGGAAATAAAGGGTATTCAATTAAGAAAAGAGGAAATCAAATTGTCCCTGTTTGCAGACGACATGATTGTATATCTACAAAACCTCATTGTCTCAGCCCAAAGTCTTCTTAAGCTGATAAGCAACTTCAGCAAAGTCTCAGGATACAAAATCAATGTACAAAAATCAGAAGCATTCTTACGCACCAACAACAGAAAAACAGACAGCCAAATCATGAGTGAACTCCCATTCACAATTGCTTCAAAGAGAATAAAATACCTAGGAATCCAACTAACAAGGGATGTGAAGGACCTCTTCAAGGAGAACTACAAACCACTCCTCAATGAAATAAAAGAGGATACAAACAAATGGAAGAACATTCCATGCTCATGGGTAGGAAGAATCAATATCGTGAAAATGGCCATACTGCCCAAGGTAATTGATAGATTCAATGCCAACCCCATCAAGCTACCAATGCCTTTCTTCACAGAATTTGAAAAAACTACTTTAAACTTCATATGAAACCAAAAAAGAGCCCGCATTGCCAAGTCAATCCTAAGCCAAAGAACAAAGCTGGAGGCATCACGCTACCTGACTTCGAACTATACTACAAGGCTACAGTAAACAAAACAGCATGGTACTGGTACCAAAACGGAGATATAGATCAATGGAACAGAACGGAGCCCTCAGAAATAATGCCGCATATCTACAACCATCTGATCTTTGACAAACCTGAGAAAAGCAAGCAATGGAGAAAGGATTCCCTATTTAATAAATGGTGCTGGGAAAACTGGCTAGCCGTATGTAGAAAGCTGAAACTGGATCCCTTCCTTACACCTTATACAAAAATCAATTCAAGATGGATTAAAGACTTAAACGTTAGACCTACAACCATAAAAACCCTAGAAGGAAACCTAGGCAATACCATTCAGGACATAGGCATGGGCAAGGACTTCATGTCTAAAACACCAAAAGCAATGGCAACAAAAGACAAAATTGACAAATGGGATCTAATTAAACTAAAGAGCTTCTGCACAGCAAAATAAACGACCATCAGAGTGAAGAGGCAACCTACAAAATGGGAGAAAATTTTCGCAACCTACTCATCTGACAAAGGGCTAATATCCAGAATTTACAATGAACTCAAACAAATTGACAAGAAAAAAACAAACAACCCCATCAAAAAGTGGGCAAAGTACATGAACAGACACTTCTCAAAAGAAGACATTTATGCAGCCAAAAAACACATGAAAAAATGCTCATCATCACTGACCATCAGAGAAATGCAAATCAAAACCACAATGAGATACCATCTCACACCAGTTTGAATGGCAATCATTAAAAAGTCAGGAAACAACAGGTGCTAGAGAGGATGTGGAGAAATAGGAACACTTTTACACTGTTGGTGGGACTGTAAACTAGTTCAACCATTGTGGAAGTCAGTGTGGCGATTCCTCAGGGATCTAGAAATAGAAATACCATTTGACCCAGCCATCCCATTACTGGGTATATACCCAAAGGACTATAAATCATGCTGCTATAAAGACACATGCACACGTATGTTTATTGAGGCATTATTCACAATAGCAAAGACTTGGAACCAACCCAAATGTCCAACAATGATAGACTGGATTAAGAAAATGTGGCACATATACACCATGGAATACTATGCAGCCATAAAAAATGATGGGTTCATGTCCTTTGTAGGGACATGGATGAAATTGGAAATCATCATTCTCAGTAAACTATCGCAAGAACAAAAAACCAAACACCGCATATTCTCACTCATACGTGGGAATTGAACAATGAGATCACATGGACACAGGAAGGGGAATATCACACTCTGGGGATTGTTGTGGGGTGGGGGGAGGGGGTGGGATAGCATTGGGAGATATATCTAATGCTAGATGACGAGTTGGTGGGTGCAGCGCACCACCGTGGCACATGTATACATATGTAACTAACCTGCACAATGTGCACATGTACCCTAAAACTTAAAGTATAATAATAAATAAATAAGTTAAAAAAAACTGCTCAATCAAAAGAAAGGTTCAACTCTGTGAGATGAACGCACACCTCACAAAAAAGTTTCTCAGAACTCTTCTGTCTTGTTTTTTGTGAAGATATTTCCTTTTCCACCCTAGGCCTCAAAGCCCTCCCAATTTCCTCTTGCAGATTCAACAAAAAGAGTTTCAGAACTGCTCAATCAAAAGAAAGGTTTCACTCTCTGAGATGAATGAGCACATCACAAAGAAGTTTCTCAGTTTGCTTCTGTCTAGATTTTATGCGAAGATATTTCCTTTTCTAACATAGGCTGCAAAGCACTCCAAATGTCCACTTGCAGATTCTAAAAATATAGTGTTTCCAAACTGCTCAATCAAAAGAAAATTTCAACTCTGTGATTTGAACGCACAGATCACAAAGACGTTTCTCAGAATTCTTCTGTCTAGCTTTTATGTGAAGATATTTCCTTTTCCACCGTGGGACTCAAAGCACTCCAAAAGTCCACTTACAGATCCTACAAAAAGAGAGTTTCAAAACTGCTCAATCAAAAGAAAGTTTTACCTCTGTGAGATGAATGCACACATCCCAAAGAAATTTCTCATTTTGCTTCTGTCTAGATTTTATGTGAAGATATTTTGTTTTCTACCATAGGCCTCAAAGCTCCCAAAATGTCCACTTGTAGATTCTACAAAAAGAGTATTTCAAAACTGCTAAATCGAAAATTCTCCAACTCTGTGAGATGAATGGACACATTACAAAGAAGTTTCTCAGAATGCTTCTGTCTAGTTTTTATGTGAAGATATTTCCTTTTCCAAAACAGACCTCAAAGCACTCCAAATATCCACTTGCAGATTCTAAAAAAGAATGTTTCAAAACTGCTCCATCATAAGAAAATTTCAACTCTGTCACGCGAATGCACACATGTCAAAAGAGTTGCTCAGAATGCTTCTGTCTAATTTTTATGTGAAGATATTTCCTTTTCCACTATAGGCAGTATAGCACTCCGAATATCCACTTGCAGATTCCACAAATAGAGTGTTTCCAAACTGCTGAATCAAAAGAAAGTTTCGAGTCTGTGAGATGAGTGCACACATCATAAAGAAGTTTCTCAGCATGCTTCTGTCTAGTTTTATGTGAAGATATTTCCTTTTCCACCATAGGCCTCAAAGCGCTCCAAATAACGAATTGCAGATTCTACAAATGAGTTTTTCAAAACTGCTCAATCAAAAGAAAGTTCAACTCTCTAAGATGAATGCACACATCACAAAGAATTTTCTCAGAATGATTCTGTCTAGTTTTTATGTGAAGATAGTTCCTTTTCCACCATAGGCTCCAAAGCGCTCCAAATGTACGCTTTCAGATACTACAAAAAGAGTGTTTCAAAACTGCTCAATCAAAAGAAAGTTTCAGCTTTGTGAGATGAATGCACACATCACAAAGTAGTTTCTCAGAATATTTCTGTAGGATTTTATGTTAAGATATTTAGTTTTCCACCATAGACCTCCTAGCACTCCAAATGTCCACTTGCAGGGTCTACAAAAAGAGTGTTTCAAAGCTACTCAATCAAAAGAAAGTTTCAACTCTGTGAGATGAGTGCACACATCACAAAGTAGTTTCTGAGAATGCTTCTATTTATTATGTGAAGATGTTTCATTTTCCAACTTAGGTCTCAAAGCACTCCAGATGTCCACCTGCAGATTCTACAAAAAAAGTGTTTCAAAACTGCTCAATCGAAAGTAAGATTCAGCTCTGTGAGATGAAGTTTGTCAGAAATCTTTTGACTAGTTTTTATGTGAAGATATTTCCTTTTCCACCATAGTTCGCAAAGCGCTCCAAATGTCCTATTGCAGATTCTACAATAAGAGTGTTTCAAAACAGCTCAATCAAAAGTAAGGTTAAATTCTGTGAGATGAATGCACACATCACAAAGAAGGTTCTCAGAAAGCTTCTGTCTAGCAACTAAGTGAAGATATTTTCTTTTCCACCGCAGTCCTCAAAGCACTCCAAATGTCCTTTTGCAAATTCTACAAAATGTGTTTCAAAACTGATCAACCAAAAGAAAATTCCAACCCTGTCAGATGAATGCACACATCACAAAGAAGTTTGTCAGAATGATTCTGTCTAGTTTTTACGTGAAAATATTTCCTTTTCCACCATAGCCTGCAAAGCGCTCCAAATGTCCACTTGCAGATTCTACCAAAAGGGTTTTTCAGACCTGCTCAATCGAAAGTAAGGTTCAACTCTGGGAGCTGCATGCACACATCCAAAAGAAGTTTGTCAGAATGATTCTGTCTAGTTTCGATGTGAAGATGTTGCCTTTTCCACACTAGGCCTCGCAGTGCTCAAAATGTCCACTTGCAGATTCTACAAAAAGAGTGTTTCCAAACTGCTCAATCAAAAGAAAATTTCCAGTCTGTGAGGTGAATTCACACATCACAAAGAACTTTCTCAGAATGCTTCTGTCTAGTTTTTATGTGAAAATATTTCCTTTTCCACCATAGGCCTGAAAACTCTCCAAATATCCACTTGCAGATTGTACAAAAAGAGTGTTTCCAAACTGCTCAATCAAAAGAAAGGTTCAAATCTGAGATGAATGCACACATCACAAAGAAGTTTGTCAGAATGTTTCTGTATAGTTTTTATATGAAGATACTTCCTTTTCCACCATAGGCTTCAAAGGGCTCCAAATTCCCACATGCAGATTGTACAAAGTGTTTCAAAGCTGTTCAATCAAATGAAAGGTTCAAACCTGTGAGATGAATGCGCACATCACAAAGAAATTTTTCAGAATGCTTCTGTCTAGTTTTTGTGAAGATATTTCCTTTTCCATCATAGGCCTCAATGCACGCCAAATGTCCACTTGCAAATATTACAAAAAGGGTGTTTCAAACTGCTGAATCAAAAGAAAATTTCAACTGTTTGAGATGAATGCACATATCACAAAGAAGTTTGTCAGAATGCTTCCGTCTAGTTTTCATGTGAAGATTTTTTTTAAATATGCCTCAAATCGCTCCAAATGTCCACTTGCAGATTCTACAAAAAGAGTGTTTCCAAACTGTTCAATAAAAAGAAAGGTTCAACTCTGTGAGAAGACCGCACACATCACAAAGAATTTTCTCAGAATTCTTCTGTCTAGGTTTCATGTGAAGATATTTCCTTTTCCACCATAGGTCTCAAAGTGCTCCAATCCACTCCACTGAAT